>NC_000003.12:162493452-162796483 GCF_000001405.40 Homo sapiens | reverse complement strand
AATTGAGACCACTGATCTAGATGAATAGTTTCAAAAAAATATTTAATAGGAAAGTGTGTGTGTGTGTACGTGTGTGTGCACGTGTAAATCTGCCTAAAATCTATTTGATATGATAAGGGCATAAAACAATCGTTGGTATACAGACTAACAGTATAACAAGATTCCTTGGTAATTCATCAATTAATTTTGCTTGAATGATCTTGCCTGGCTTATCTTCTCTGTTATAAAATACTATACCAAATCTGTAGTTTAACACATTTTTTAAAGAGTAAATGGAATCAACTTTTATAATAATATGTATATATTAATGATGTCAATTATTTTCATGTTCATATTTTTACATATAATAAACTAAAACTTCAACATGCATAAATTACTGGGACAGCTTCTGTATTTTTTGAGTCTTTTTATGTAACTTTTTCAAAAACAAAATACAGGTTTTTTATTCTGATGTGGAAATATTAACATGGACTACATCAACAAAACCTCTCTATGGTATTGTGGCAAGTTGCTCTTCCTGAAATCAGAATTAATGGACTTACCAGAATAATTCATCGATTCAAGAATAATGCATTGAATGCCAATTATGTCCCAGGTATTGTTATGGGTACTGGGAATATTTTGGTGAATAAGACAGGAAGAAAATAACTTTTAAACTATAGTGGAACTTATATTTTTATGAAAGGGCAGATGAAGAGACAGAAAATAATATAAATGAATAAATGTATTTTAAATATGTTTAACTACATAGTTACATAATTTATGAAGGAAATATAAACTGATAGAGGGAGGGTTTGAGTGGTACTACATTAGCTGGAATGCTCACAAGAGCCTTTCAAGAGGGGTGAACATGTGAACTGAGAGAAAAATAATGGAAATTAGGCAGAACTATGGAGAAAAAAGTATTTCAGCCAGACAAGCAGTAAGAGCAGAGTCCCTGAAGTTCAAAGGATATGGTACATTATAGTGATAAAAATCCCAATAGTCTGACCAAAGATGAAAAAGAGAAAGTGGTAAAAGATAGATTTTCTTATAATTTCTTCAAAACAATTATTATCGTAATTAGCTTAGATATCTCATTTAAAATGCTGTCATACTTTAAATTTATTTGGCATATTCTTTTAGACAGCACAGATACACATTTAAATCTTTGCTGTGTTTAAATTTCAGAGACAGATTTCACCATATCATGTTGTATCTTTCTGAACATATTTATTTCAAGTATGAGCATACCTTATTTTATTGCAAATCACTATTTCAATTCAAAAATATTGCATTTTTTTATTAATTGAATGTTTGGCAACCCCGCATCAAGAAAGTCTTTCAGCATGATTTTTCCAACAGCATGTGCTCATTTCATGTCTGTGTCACATTTTGGTAATTCTGGTAATTTTTCAATTTTTTTCATTATTATTATATTGTTTATGATGATCTGCAATCAGTGATCTTTGATGTTGCTACTGTAATTGTTTGGGGGTACCACAAACTGCACCCATATAAGGCAATGAAATTTAATCAATAAAAGCTGTGTGTGTTGACTGCTCCACTAACCAGCCATTCTCCGTCTCCCTCCCTTTCTTCAGGCCTTCCTATTCCCTGAAACACTACTATGTTGAAATTAGGCCAATTAATAATCCCACAATGGCCTCTACGTATTCAAATGAAATAATGACATATCTTTCACTTTAGATCAAAAGGAAGAAGTGATTAAGCTTAGTTAGGAAGACATGCCAAAAGCCACGATAACCTGAAAGTTAAGCCTCTTACACAAAAGAGTTACCCAAACTGCGAAAGCAAAGGGAAAGTACTTAAAGTAAATTAAAAGCTGTACTCCAGCAAACACACAAATAAGAAAGCGAAATAGCCTTATTGCTAATGTGGAGAAATTGTTAGTGGTCTGGACAGAAGATTCAAACCAGTCACAACATTCCTTTAAGCCAGAGCCTAATCCAGAGCAAAGCACCAACTTTCTTCAATTCTATTAAGGCTGAGAGAGGTGAGGAAACCGCAGAAGAAAAGTTTGAAGCTAACAGAGATTGGTTCATGAGGTCAAAGGAAAGAAGCCATCTCCATAGCATAAAAATACGAAGTAAAACATCAAGTGCTGATATAGAAGTTGCAGCTCCAAACGACCTAAGATAATTGATGAAGACTACACTAAACCACAAATTTTCAGTGTAGATGAAGTAGTTTCTGTTGGAAAAAGATGCCATCTAGGACTTTCATAGGTAGAAAGAAGTGAATGCCTGGCTTCAAGGCTACAAAGAACAGGCTGACTGTCTTAATAAGGGGTAATGCAGCTGATGACTTCAAATTGAAACCAGTGCTCATTTATCATGCTGAAATGCTAGGGCCCTTAAGAATTATGCTAAATCTACTCTGACTGTGTTCTGTGAATGAAACAACAAAGCCTGGATAACAGCACATCTGGTTATAGCATGGTTTACTGAATATTTCAAGCCCACTGTTGGGACCTACTGCTCAGAGGAAAATATTCCAAAATATTACTGTCCATTGATAATGTACCTAATCACTCCAGAGCGCTAGTAAAGATGTACAAGGAAATCAATGTTTTCATGCCTTCTAACACAACATCTTATTCGTAGCCCATGGACTAAGTCATGAATGACTTTTAAGGGTTCAAGTCTTTAGTGGAGGAGGTCACTGTAGATGTGGTGGAATGAGCAAGAGAACTAGAATTAGAAGTGAAGCTTGAAGATGTGACTGAATTGCTGCAATCTTATGATCAAACTTGAATGGATGAAGAGTCGCTTCTTATGAATGATCAAAGCGGTGTCCTAAGATGGAATCTACTCTTTGTAAAGATGTGAGCATTATTAAAGTGACAATAAAGGATTTAGAATATTACATAAATTTAGTTGATAAAGTAGCTTCAGGGTCAGAGAGGAGTGACTCCAATTTTGAGGGAAGTTCTACTGTGGGTAAAATGCACAAATAGCATTACATGCTACCAAAGAGAAATCTTTTGTGAAAGGAAAAGTCAATCAATTCAGCAAACTTTACTGCTGCCTTATCTTAAAAAGTTGCCACAGCCACCCCCACTTTCAGCAACCACTACCCTGATCAGTCAATAGCTATCAACATTGAAGCAAAACCTTTCATCAGCAAAATGATTACAACTCACTGGCAGCTCAGATTATTTTTTTAATATTTTAAATAATAAAGTATTCTTAATTAAGGTATCTAAATTGTTTTTAGACATAATGCTATTGCACACTTAATAGTTTTGTTCACTCAAACAAAAACAAAGTGCTCACTCAGTAGGCTTTTGCTTTACCATCCTACTAATCTGATATCTCCATATTCCTTCTGAATTTAAACTTTTTCTCTTTTCACTTCCTTCTTAAAATGGATCATACCCAATCTTGGTTACCATCACTTAGATTGAATTTTAACAACTGTTCTCACCTGCTTGTTATGCCAATCAGTAGTTGTCCAATTTGGAATGCACCAAATTATTACCCCATTAAACTCTTACGTTTGAGGTTTATAAATTTTCATTTTCCCATAATTTATCATTAAGGAAATAGTGCAGGATTTTTAAAGTGATAGAAAGTTGCTTAAATCTATATATAGATTATGTGGATTGTTTGAGTCCTTTACCATCCCTTGTAGTATACTACTTATTTATATATAAATATTTACTGAGTGCCAGAGACTGTTCTAAGTTCTTGAGATAAAAATCTGTAAATAAGGCAGAATAAAATGACCTGCCTTCATGGCCGTTACAATCTCAAAAAATTAGTCAGATTAAAAACTATAAACATCATAAACAGGTAAATTATATGCTAGTTTAAAATGTGATAAACATGACAAAAAAAATAAAATAATCCAGCTTAATTTTTCGTGTATATATGTGTGGTGTTCGTTACAATGACTAAAAGAGTAATCAGGCTATGCATATGGATGGTAATAATATTTGAGCCAAGACTTCAAAAAATATAACTTGTTTGTTTAATTTATATTGAAGTAGCCAGATCACTGACCAGTGCAATTATAATTCAGTATATTCAGCCAGTAGAAAAAAATGTTTCTGGAAGGCAGACATAAATAAGAGAATTTGCAGTAATTTTGAATGCAACTTACAAACTTGGTTTTTGCAATAGTCACTTCCTCTTCCTGCTAAAAAATTATAGCTTTTGTTTCCTTTATCTTAGACTGTGTTTCTTGATAAGAAAATTAAATTTCATGGATCTCATTTTTAGAGAATTAGCACTTTGTGCTAAAATAACTTGCAATAATCTCCCTAGTTCTTTCAATGAAATAGAACCAAAGGCTCAAGCCAACTGAGCAGACAGAGGTGAGTTCCATAAGTTAAATTTTACAGAAATGAATCAAACATAATTATGTTTTGTATTTATGAGTGTGTATAAATACATAGATATGTATAGTTCTATTAGATTGTTTGCTATATTTTAGTATCAGGTTATGTCAACCATTAATTCAAACTGATTGAAAAATATTATTTATCATCTAACTCACAGTAGAAAATGTAGAACTTAACGATATTTTTAGTAATATATTTTCATATAGTACGTGATTTTTTTAAATTAGAAATTCTAATTCAAACATTAAATTGTAAGAACAGCCTGTGTGTTTCATATTAATAATTAAGATATTTTGACTTCATCATTAGTGAATAAGGCAATTTTACACTGACACTGTATGTTTGAGAGGTGGAATGAAATATGAATATTTTATTAATATAAAAAACAACAGATTAATTCATCATGTATTTTGTGAGTTGTTTTGCTGTGTAACTTCTTTTGTTTATATTATACATAATTTTTATTATTCTATAAATAAATTATATTTTAAATTTTTATGACTAGAGTTACTTCCTTAAGCATAATGCCTTATTCATTAATATTTAAAGCAATTTTGTTTGCCAATTTCAAGAGATCATGGGATAAATTCTGTAGCATTAATTTACATTTGCTTCCTGATTTAAACCAGTCACTACCAAATGCATCAGTATTTTCAGAATTAACAATTCACAAGAATAGGAAATATTACAATTTATTTTAATCATATTATTTTAGTCAAAATATTTGTAGCTAAAAATATACTAATATTTGGAAGTGAAAATTTAAAAGAATGTTTTAATGTGGTAAATAGAAGTATATTTAAGAAAATACTTATACTATAAAATATTGTTTAGAACATTCCAAAAATGTATGTTATGGTCTGTTTTTGGCTTGTTGACAAATACTGACTTACTAGCATCCTAATAAAATAAGTTGAGCTATCTCAGTGGTGTTTACTTTTTAATGAGTGATAATTTTTGTCATTCTATTTCTAGTTATCCTTGACTATACATTCTTCTTTTCACTGTGCAATGAATGAAATGCCAAAGTCCATGAAAAGACGTGTCATTGCTAAAACAGGTATATAAAGTTTGGGAGTCTGGGAATTACACGTCTTAAATGAACATTATGATGTGTAGAAATAAGGCAAATAAAATTTGTGGGGAAAAAAAAAAGAAAAAAATTTGACTTTGCTGGGCGTGGTGGCTCACACCTGTAATCTCAGCACTTTGGGGGAGGCCAGGGCAGGTGGATCACCTGAGGTCTCCAGTTTGAGACCAGCCTGACCAACATGGTGAAGCCTCATCTCTATTAAAAATACAAAAATTAGCCAGGTGTGGTGGCATGCACCTGTAATCCCAGCTACTCAGGAGGCTGAGGCAGGAGAATCACTTGAACCCGGGAGACAGAGGTTGCAGTGAGCCAAAATCACGCCATTACACTTCAGCCTGGGCAACAGAGTGAAGCTCCGTCTCAAAAAAAAAAAAAAAAAGAAAAGAAAAAAGAAATTGACTTAAGAGATTTGTTAGATTTAATGCAATTCTAATAAATATACCAAAGTTCTTTTTTAAATGGGGCTACTTAAGTTGATACTAAACTTACATGGAGAAATAAACATGCAAGAATAGCTATGCATGTCCTTAAAGGGAAAATATATAAGGAAGGCAATAGCCTTACCACATACTACAATAACTATGAAAACTCTATAATTAAAATAATGTGGCATTGACCCATGAAAATAATGGAGAATCCTAAAATAGGCTGATAATGGAGAATCCAAAAGTAGACTGATATCCAAAAATAGAGAAAGATGTATTATATGATAAAAGTATACATAATAACTATTTAGAAATGTATTATATTTATATGAAATAAAATAAAATTGAGCAAGTTTAATTAAATTAATTAAATATAATACGCAATATATTGCCTTTGGAAAAAACTTAAGAATATATAGTTTTAAGACGCCTGGATGGCCATTTGGAAAAATTAGCTAAATGCCTTTCATTTTCACTTGCTTTCTGTACTTCCTATTTCAAATTAATACATTGATTGCCTTTGTTTTTTCCTTTTGTTTCAAAATTTGCCTTAAGTTTTGCTTTAGCTGTCTTCCATTGTCTGATATGGATAGTATTCAACTTCACCTTTTCTCCCACATGCAATTTATTATTTTACATTAAAAACTTTTATTCCGTTTTAAAATTTATTTCACTGACTGATCTATATAAGAAATGGTTAATTCTTATAAACCATTAAAAAATCAATGAATAATACAAACAGAAATTAACAACACATATTTCACTAGTGCTCGACATTGAACATTCTATTTAGAAATATTTTGTAGTTATGTGAAAATAACATATTTTGTATACTCTAATTGAAATTATGTGCTATCAATTTTGTTGCTGTAGCACAATTTAAATGTTGAAAGGCTATTTCAAATAGACTCTGAAAAATACATTTATTTATTTATTTATTTATTTATTTATTTATTTATTTAAGACATGGTCTCAGTCTGTTGCCCAGGCTGCAGTGCAGTGGCGTGATCTTGGCTTACTGCAACCTCTGCCTCACGGGTTCAAGTGTTTCTCATCCCTCAGCCTACCAAGTATCTGGAACTACAGGCGCGTGCCACCATGCCCTGTAGTCCCACGTGTTAAATTGGTAATACCTTTTACCCCTGTCTTTCTCTGCTAAGGCGTATTTCTCACTTCCCTCTGCCTATATATACTTTATACTGAGAAAAATGTTAATGTCTATGCATTGAGTTTGAAATATGACTTAACTGGTCATTAGTTCCAATTAGTTCACATCAGACTTATTTATGCTTCTACATTATTCTTCAAATTTTAGATACAGAGAACTTAACAATGATGCCATACCACTGCTACAATAAATAGCATTTTAGAATAAAAGAGAGATATAAATAATTCCAATATTAAGATAACCTTATGTTATTCCTTTCTGAAATGCTAACACTGCACTCTATTTTCATTCATTTTAGAAGATTGAGTTGGGAAATAAAAGAAGAAGATTTACACTATATGTAGAAATGTTCTTGAAAATTTCACTGAAAGCCATCATTAACATATAAGGATATGTTTTTGTTGAAGACACCAAGTTGAAGCAGTTTGCCTTTTTCTGCTAATTTTAATTACTGTCTTTGTGAATTCCTTTATAACTGCTAAATTTTCAAGAAATTATGTGTTCTGAGATGGCATTCATCAGGTAGTCATTCATTTGGTGAAGTTAAAACTAATTGGCGATACTTTTCAAGAGCAGCTTGTCAAAAAAATTTCTTTAGATAGATGTGTTAACAGTGGGAACAAAAGCCTCAAACTGTCCAGCAACCAGATGGTTCAATATAAATAAAATAAACTGCATGTTTGCCAAGTTGCATACATTGTCTTGCCATGTGAAGGAAAAAAAAAACAGTTAAAAATGTTTTTTAAGAATCTAGTGCTTAAAGATGAATTCTGAGCATAATTTTCAACAAAAGTTACATAGCTATGGACACTTTTGATGATAAAACAATTATATATGAATATTTCACCATTAGAATTACGTGAAATCACATAGATACAAGAAATTTCTGAAAGATTATAAACAATAACTTCACATACAATTAGTACTCAATGCTAGATTTATAGTTCAACCAGATACCACACTCCTAACTTACAAAAGGAAGCCATTCATTCCTGAATTAACTAAGGTCATTGATAAATACACTGTACTATTCTTCTCAGGTAAAAAGTAGTGTTAGGTCTATTATTCACAGGGCAGAGCTAGGTGCCATGGAGAAGAATTAGCCCTCACATGTGTTCCTTGTCTCACTTGTCCCTGAGATGCCTAGCGTGAGCTCAATTTTTGAGGAAAAGTCAATCCTCTAAAAATCAATAATAAAATTAACCAAAAGCAAACAAACAAAATTTTTTACATGCAAATGAAGAAAAGCACTGCTAGGCAATCCTTCAGTGGTGGTTCCTGAAAGTGTGGTGGTCCCTGCTTCAAAAGCATTAGATTATATGGGAGTTGGTGAAAAATGCAGATTATTGGGTCTGACCCAAATCTACAGAATTATAATCTCTGAGAGTGAGCCCAGAAATATGTGTTTTAACAAGCTTTGCGTGACTGAGATACATGCTAACATTTGAGAACCATTACTACAGAACATAATGAAAATTAAAAGAAATTTAAAAATTTTCTAGAACGTAATGAGAAGGACACTACATAGGCAAACCTATGGAATAGTGAAATCTGTACTCAGGAAAATGTATAGACTTAAAATATGTTTATGTAAGGCTCATAATTGAAATTTTAAAGGGATAATTTATATTTTAAGTCTTTAAGGAAATAAAAGCTCATATAAAAATAAGTGACTCAATATTTTTAGGAATCTAGCATGTTGATATGAAAAATATCACAATACACACACACACAGGTGTGCATACACATATGTATCTTTCACATTTAAATTGGAAATAAAATAAACTTGAGAGTGGTTTAATTAATGTATAAACAAATGTTAAAAATGCCATTTATTAAAATGGAGTTTACACAGACACAAAATAAATAAGTTTATATAATTCAGTTACAAATGAAATAGTTATTTTTTGTACCTTTTCTTCCTAATTTAACATAGCATCAAAATATAACTCCTAATTCTAGGTTTTCTGAGAACTAGACACTTAATGATTTATCTCTGAGAATAACCTTGGCATTCAAGAGTATGAATAATCCATGAAAATGACTGAAATGGTAATGCTATTAAATTTAAACAGCAAAAGAAATGTGATAGTACAAAGCTATGAAGTACAATGTTTTCAATTGTAATAGGATTTATATGTTAAAAGATCAAAGAAGGTTATCTTGAGGGTCTCGATTTTTACCTATTGCCAAAAAATTTACAAAAAGGTTGGCATAAAAATAGTTTATGTTCCTATATATTATTTTAGTATTATTTCTAATAAATTTTAATTGTATAGTTTGGAAATAGTTTTACCAAGGATTGCTTTTGGTACAAATTTGGTTTTAAATTCATAAGGCAAATAAATGAGCTGAATACATAATTATTTAGCATATCATTAAACCTATGGTATTAATCCAATAATTTAAAAAATTCTCAGTCAAAATATTCAATGGAAATAAAACGGAAAGTGTGTTAATAGACCAGGTGTTGTTAAAATTTTCAGTAAACAAATTTTGACTTGTATTTAGCAATGTCACCCTCCAGTATTACAGTGAGTGGGCTCAAGTAATAATTGTAATCTATTCTGAATGAAGTTCTTATGCTGCCATTTTTAGGTGTAACATTTTACAATTTTCATCATTTATTCAAGTTCTCCACCTCAGGCACCTGGTAGTCATCTGGATCATCAGAATCCTGTTTTTCCCTAATAACTCCATGTTTCTGTTACCAAAATTTTGTTGATTTTACATTCTTAACATTTTTCCAAACTATTTTCTTCCTTTCATATCTACTGATAATACTAGAATTAGGTGAGGAGTCATAGATCCTTACCTCTACTATTAAAATAGGCAAAATTTTTCTTTCAAGTCTCTATTCTAGCTTTTTTCAATTTTTCCTTTACATGTCCTGTAGGGAGAATAATTTAAAGCAAAACATTTTACATATTCAGATGGTCTTCCATTGCATTGACCATGGTATGCAAAACTACTCTAGTTCAATTTTTCTAAAACATAATTATGCACAGGAATCATTTGGTGAATTTGCTACATTAATCTCAGTTACTAGATTCCAGGGATTAACTCCAAAAGAGTCTGATTCAGAGGGGTTTTTATTGGGACAGAAACCTACATTTTGCTTAGCACCCCACCTGGTGACCTGGCCACGTTCTCCCTAGCCCTTCCCCCATTCCAGGATATTTTCATCTTAATAGCTCAAAGCTAGTATGGTTTGGCTGTGCCCCTACCCAAGTCTCATCTTGAATTGTAGTTCCCATAGTACCCACATGTCGTGGGAGGGACATTGTGGGAGGTGATTAGATTATGTGGGCAGTTCCCCCATGCTGCTCTCATAATATTTAGTAAGTTCTCACAAGATCTGATTATTTTATAAGGCGCTTCTCCCTCATTGACTCTGCACTTCTTCCTGCTGCTGCCTTCTGAAGAAAGTGCATTGTTCATCCTTTGTCTTCTAGTATGATTGTAAGTTCCCCAAGACCTCCCCAGCCATGTGGATCTGTGAGTCAATAAAACCTCTTTCCTTTATAAATTACCCAGTCTTGGGTATTTCCTTATAGCAATGTGAGAATGAACTAATACAGTAAGTTGGTACTGCAGACAGTGAGGTGCTGTTGTAAAGACACCCTAAAATGTGGAAGCAACTTTGGAACAGTGTAACAGGCAGATGCTGGAGCAATTTGGAGGGCTCATGAGAAGACAAGGAAATGTGGGAACGTTTGGAAATTCATAGAGACTTGGAGGGCTCAGAAGACAGGAAGATGTGGGAAAGTTTAGAACTTCCTAGAGACTTAATTGAATAGCTTTGACCAAAATGTTGATAGTGATATGGACAATGAAGTCCAGGCTGAAGTGGTCTCAGATGCAGATGAGAGACTTGCTGGGAACTGGAGTAAAGGTCACTTGCTATGCAAGGAGACTGGAAGCATTTTACCCTGCCATTGAGATATGTGGCACTTTGAATTTGAGAGATATGATTCAGGGCATCTGGCAGAAGAAATTTCTAAATGGTGAAGCATTCAAGAGGAGGCAGAGCATAAAAGTTTGGAAAATTTGCAGCCCAACAATATGATATAAAAGAAAACCCCATTTTCTGGGGAGAAATTCAAGCCTGCTGGACAAATTTGCATAAGTAACAAGGATCCAAATGTTAATCACCAAGACAGTGGGGAAAATGTTTCCAGGGCATGTCAGAGACCTTCATGGTAGCCCCTCCCATCACAGGCCTGGAGGCCTAGGAGAAAAAAATTATTTTGTGGCCTGGGCCCAGGTCCCCCTACTCTATGCAGCCTTGGGACATGGTGCCCTGTGTTCCACCTATTTCAGCTCCAGCTGTGACTAAAAGGTCTCCCAGGTTTTAGCAAGCATCAGAGTCTCCTGTTGAGCTAGTGTTAAAATATATTTCTGGGTCTCATCCTCAGGGTTTCTGAGTCAGTAGTTTGAATGTGAGGCCTGAGAATTTGCATTTATAAGAAGTTCCCAGATGATTCTGATGCTGCTGGTGCAGGGACCACATTTTGAAAATCACTGTTAAGAATTTTGAGCCAGGTAATTATAAAAGCAATTTATAGTTTAAAATTGTCTAAGGTTTTATTAGAAAGTAATTAAGCTAAGGCCTTAGGGAAGAAAGGACAATTTCAGGTTAAAAAAAAATAGATTTCCTGAAATCTTCAAGTAGTGGGAAATTGATTTCTTTTTTTAAAACTAAAAGTGGCTGGTAAGGCCATAGCTTGAATAGTGCAAAATAAGGTGGTAAGAGAAGGCCTCAGATGAGACAGATCAGGGTAGGACAAGCTCCTCCTTCAGGGTCTTGTAGGCCATGTTAATTAAATTATCATTCCAAAAATATACAATTTCATTGGATGGCAATAAAAGACGACATAACATGATCAAAATTATTTTAAGTTTTGAGGGGAAAAATGAGCCCTCTCATTATAGTTATAGGAGAATAGCAAACTAAAGAATAAAATATAGAAATGG
Organism: Homo sapiens; assembly: GCF_000001405.40. Lineage (NCBI taxonomy): Eukaryota > Metazoa > Chordata > Mammalia > Primates > Hominidae > Homo > Homo sapiens. Next base: position 162,784,472 of record NC_000003.12, on the reverse strand, counting down.
GAAATAAGTCAATATCTGACAGTTACAGTGATCCCAGCTTCATGTGTAACTGTACAAGAATATCAATAACATTAACTTACATTTTTCACAGTCCATTGAATTTTGCAAAGTATTTTTACACACACATTTTATTGACTTTATAATTATCACTTGAAGTAGACAAGAATTAATAACTCTGATGAGACTATAAAGAGAGATTTTGTTGAAATGAACTGAATTCTTGACACTTCATCAGCTAGATTTAGAAGTCATCTGGAGATAACCTGAGGCTTAAAGACAAAGTGAGTTAAGCCTTATCAGATGATTGGGAATACAAAGTAGCCCACAAGAAGAGAGAAGCATCTAAGAACAGAAACTGCAAATCATTGGTAATTCCCAAAAAAGCATTGATATGCAAATCACATGTCATATAAACTGGTTTCTACATTTTATAATCTGTAAATCTACATTTTATAATCTATAAAACTAAAACCCTGTGCTCCTTAAACAATAACTACCCATTCCTCTTCCCCCCATCCCCTGGCAACCAACAATTCTACACTGCCTCTATTATTCTGAGTACCTCACATACATGGAATCATATAGTTTTTGTCCTTTTGTGACTGGTTTATATCATTTTGCAGAATGTCTTCAAGGTTCATACATCTTGTAGCATATGTCAGATTAAAAAGTCAGACAAAGATGGATCCAGGAGTAAAATAAGAGTAAGAAAATAAAGATGCCTACAACTACAATTAGTCCAAAGCAAGTAAATCCAATAAAAACCTCCTGACACAAATGTATCCTGCTTTGCTCTTCTCCATTACTTTGTGCTCATAGTAGCCCATCTGTACCTAGCATATGCCCAGTTCTAACAATAAGGCATAACTTAAAATACCAACTTCAATATACATATATTCAAGTGTATTTGTCACAGTGTCATAATATTCTCTAAGAGAAAAAATAATAATAAAGCTCTTTTTAATAAAGTGCATAAAATAGGCTTAAAGAACCAGAGATATATACTGAGTTGATTGAAATAGTATCTGTTTGCATATATTTTGGAATCTACCCATCATCATCTATTGAGTACATAGTTTCTCAATGACCTGAGAAGAAATCTGGGAAGATGAAAAACAAATAAAATATTTACTTACATAGAAAATATTAGATTGTTTTCCATTTTTTTCTATTTTTTATTGTGTTAAAATACAATTAACATAAAATGTACATAACCATTGTTAAGTGTGCAGTCTTAACCATTGTTAAGTGTACAATTCAATGTTATCAAGGCCATATAAATTGCTGTGCAACCATTAATACTATGTTTCCCCAGAACTCTTTCACCTTGTAAAACTAAAAGTCTGTAATCATTAAATGATAACTACCCATTTCTCTTTCCCACATCCCCTGGCAATGAACCATTCCACACTGTCTCTATTATTCTGAATATCTCATATACATGGCATCACATAGTTTTCATGCTTTTGTGACTGGCTTACTTCACTTTGCAGAATGTCTTCAAGGTTCATACATGTTGTAGCATATGTCAGAATTTCCTTCATTTTTAAGACTGCTTAGCATTCCAGTATAGACACACACACACACACACACACACACACACACACACACACCCACCCCATATATTTAGAGCATTCATTCCAGTATACACACTTGGTTGACTTCCATGTTGTAGCATTGTGAATAATGCTGCTATGACCATGGAAGTGTAAATACCTTTTAGAGACTCTGCTTTTAGTTCTTTGGAGTATTTATTACGAAGAATTGCTGAATTAGATGGCAGTTTCATATTTTTTATTTTTTTTTTGAGGAGCTGCCGTACTGTTTTCTACAGTGGTTATACCATTTTACATTCCCACCAACAGTGTACAATAATTCTAATTTCTCTATTTCCTTACAAACACTTACTTCTGGTTTTGTTTTTGATAGTAGCCATTTTAATAGTTGTGAGATGGAATTTCACTGTAGTTTTGGTTTGCATTCCTCAAATTATTAGTGCTGTTGATCATATACTTATTGGTCATTTATATATCTTCTTTGAAGAAATGGCTTTACAAGTCCTTCTTCCAATTGTTAACAAAGTTGTTTGGGACATTTTATTGTTAAGTTTTATATATATTCTGGTCATTAATCCCTTTTTAGATATATGATTTACAAGTATATTCTGTGGTGACAATTTCTGTGTGGTGTCTTTTTAAAACTCTGTCATTAGTGGCTTTCTATGAACAACTTTTTAAAAATTTCATGTAGTCCCAATTTGTCTATTTTTTTCTTTTGTTGCTAGTGCCTTTGGAATCATGGTCAAAATATCACTGACACATACAGTGTTTTGAAGCTTTCACCTGTGTTTTCTTCTACAACTTTTACAGTTTTGGTTCTTACATTTATGTTATGGATCCACTTTGAGTTCATTTCTGTTTGCAATGTTAGGTAATGGTCCAATTTTATTCTTTTATATGTGGATATCCAGTTTTCCTAGCACCATTAGTTGAAAAGACTGTTTTTCTCAATTTAATAATCTTTGCACCCTTGTTTAAAATCATTTGACCATATATGTAAATGTTTGTTTCTGGAATCTCTAGGCTATTCCATTGCTCTATATTTCTGTCTTTATGCCAATACTACACTGTTTCGATTACTGTAGCTTTAGAGTAAGTTTTAAAATCAGAAGTGGAGTCCTCCAGGTTTTTTTTTTCTTTTCAAGATTCTTTTGAAAATTAGGTATTCTATAAGATAGTATGTACATTTTAGGATAGTTTTTTCTATTTCTACAAAAAAAAATTGGGATTTTGTTAGGAATTACATTGAATCTGTAGATCACTGGGTCGTTGGGGCACCTTAACAATATTAAATCTTCCAGTCCAGAAACACAGGATTTCTTTCCATTTATTTATGTTTTCTTTATTTTTTTCCAATGTGTTTTGTAGTTTCCACTGTGCAACACTTTCATCTTCTTGGTTAAGTTAATTCCTAAGTATCTTATTCTTTCTTCTGCTATAGTAAAGGAAATTGCTTGTTAAATTTCCTTTTCGGAATGCCCATTATTAGAATATAGAAATGAAACTAATTTTTTTTTTGCCGTTGTTGTTGTTGTTTACTTAGTATCCTGCTACTTTGCAGAATTTGTTTATTAGTTCTAAGACTTTGTGTGTATGGGGGGTGGATTTTCTAAATATAATATTATCTATGAATATAGATAATTATTCTTTCCTTGTTCCTGATCATAGAGGAAAAGATTTCACTCTTTCACCATTGAGTATGATATTTGCTGTGGTTTTTTTATATGTGGGTTTTATTATGCAGAGGCTGTCTCCTTATATTCCTAGTGGGTTGAGTGTTTTTATCATGAAAGGGTGGCAAATCAATTGAAGGTTTTATGTATTCCTTCTATTAATGTGGTGTATTGCAATGATCGATTTTTATAAGTTGAACCATCCCTGTATTACAGGAATACATTTTAGTTGGCCATGGTGTATAATTCTAGTTGGCTGGTATTTTGTTGGGGATTTTTGTGTGGATGTCTATAAGATATTGGTCTCTAGTTTTCTTCTAATGTACCTTCTTTATCCAGCTTTGGGATCAAGGTACTGATGACTTCATAGAATGAGTTAGGGAGTGTTACCTCCTCTTCAAATTTTTGGAAAAGTAGAGAAAGATTGGTGTTAGTTCTTGTTTAAATATTTGAATTCATCAGCAAAGCCATCAGATCCAGGGCTTTTGTTTGTCAGGAGATTTTGGATTACCGATTCATTCTTCTTGAATTGAAAGTCTATTCTGACTTTCTAGCTCTATGTAATTTAGTCTTGGTAGATTGTGTATTTCTAGAAATGTTTTAATTTTATCTAGATAACATATTAGTGTCTAATAACTCATAGTACAATACAATAGCTTACAGTCATGTGGTGAGATCATATACAGAAACTCTTATCTAAGAGCTCAGCTGCTTTGTTCCTGTGCCAACCACCACAACAACAATTGCTAGCTAAGTTAGTGGGCCACCCTTTAGAACTGTACCCTCACAGGAAAGCAAAAGGAAAAATGACCCAGTTGAGCTCAGTCAATACACTGAACCATGAGAAATGATATTTTTTGTTTTAAGGCACTAAATTTGGGGCACTTTCCAGGCAGAAATAAATAAATGGAACAATAGTAAACACCCAGCTTTGCAATTTACAAGACTTTCATTAAATGGTTTAATAAAATAGCCTCAGAAGGCCTCTGAAACTTTCTGTGGGCTTTGGAATGCTGAGTGGTTTCATTATTAGATATCTTACAGTCAAAGTTTTCTAAAACAGCCTAACTGTTTTGAGTTTTGAGCAAAAATGTTTGGGTCCTCCTGACCTTCACATATTGTCCTTCTAGTGACTGGGAATTCTGATGGCTGAGAAGCAGTAGCTTGCTTGTTTACAATGCCATAAGGCAATTTTGAAGGCCTTAAACATATGAAATATCATTAGAAAATATTTACTTGGTTCAATGTTGTTAACAGTAGAACATCATCTCATTAAATATAACATATACACTGCCACTGTCACCCCCGCAATTACATGAAGTTTAAAAAAAATGGCTTCAAAAGCTTTTTGTTTTGGTTTCACTGCATTGTAACATTAAATTTAATCTTCTGTTTAAATTATTAGGTTCAAAAATTGCTTGACTATTGTTCATAATAGGTGCTGTATTAAAAAACAATTTATCATCTACAGACTTCTAAAAGTTCAGAGATCACATCTTGAATATAATAAACACCTCCTTCATTAAATGTATTCCACGAAGATATCTTATTTCAATAATGAGAGATAATAGTCACTAATTACACCAATTAATTTGTCATAGTGATAAGTTACTTCAAAGTAACAGTGGGAATTTCCATTCTTTCCCTTTTAAAAGAGCTAAAATTTATTAATAACTTATAAGCCTCTTAATTGAATGTCTTGTATTTTGGCAAACTTAAGGTAGTCATCTGAAAGTTAGCTAGCTGTCTTATTTTTAAAAAAACAGGGTTTTAGTTTCCCTTTTAATTGTACACTTCAGATACCAGGAGAATAATAAACAATACAAACAAGGCAGTGAATACTGTCTGATTATTATAAGCTACTGGAGAAATACAGTTATGTATTATAAGACACAAGAGACAAGTAAAGTTTTCAAAATCCAAGAGGGGTGATTATACCATAATAAATATTCTAAAATGAAATCATTTTAGAGGTAGAAGATAGATGTTATTCCTTTCTGAAAAGCCAATAAAACATTATTCTTTTGTCTTAGTGTCCCATTATTTGTTATAAACATCTGGAATTTGAACACATTTCATATTCTACAATTTTCAGAGGAACAATTATTTGATACTATTTGTACCCCTGAGGTGTTTTAATGCTTAGTAACATCTGACAAGCATTTCAATAAGCTATTGAAATTAACCTGCTCATGGCAGCTAATCATATTTTGTCATTTGCAAAGAGTTATTATAAGTAACAGAATGAAGACAGATTGAATCTTAGAAACTTATGTTTAAAATGTTTAGAATGTATAATGAAAATGTAAAAATACTGTCACAACTATATTTAACATGAGTTTATTTATACATTGTAACAAACTATGTAAATACATGAGTATTTACATATTCCTGTATGTAAAGTTTGATAGAGTGTTAACTTTGAGTACTTTCTGCCTTTACAAATTGTGCACAGAAAGACAAAAAGAAATAGTATTTAGATTATTGAAACTTTAAAATCTCAAATTCTCTCCAATTATAAATAGAGAAGTTGCCATAAAATTTTAAAATGGATTTTAAATACTTTATTGAAATGTTTAAAATTGAAAAAGTTATTTTTATATAATAGCACCTCTTTTTTTTGCAAATTATATTTTAGCACGGAAAGAACAAATTGGAGGTTTTACATTAGTGTTATAGAAAACTGTATTTTTCTGTCCTATGTAGATGGAATTGACAAGAACAAAATAATGGAAGGAATCACATAAAATGTTATTTTAGTCATTTAGTAATAGTACTAATAACCTGGGCCAAAGCACTGTATGTGGGATTATGAGACTGACAGAATTTGATAGCTGTTTAGGATACAGAATTGGACTGTTAGGACATAATATTAACAGTATTAATAGGAGGGATTGTTTGAATACTTTGTGAGCTAATCAGAAAAAAAAATACTTTAAAAATAATAATTGTGGTTATTTTCCAAATACTATAAATATTCATCAGACTGCACTTAGCCGAAAAAAATAAAAAGAGCAATGGTAAATTGAAAAATTAAAAATAAGTAAATAGAAGGAGTGTCCTCCAAAGATCCAAGATTCAAGGATGATCCCACTGTACATGTCAGGCACATTTATGTTTGCACTGGGACTGTATTCTTAGAGCTTCCAACTACTATTGCTACTAAAGTGAATGTTGCTTCTGAGTCAAATTTTTAATCATCTCAAGCACTGTATTATGCTCCTGTTTTCCTGAGTTTCAGCAAATTTGATAGCTTCTGATAAGTATTCCTGGTTTCTCTTACTTAGTTCTCTTTCTTTCCTGTTAACAATTAGTTAGACTAAGTCAAATTTTCCCCTTTTTTCTTTTGGCATTGTTAATTCTTTTACTAAAACTGTCTAATGAGATAATAATTTCACCTACAATTTATGGACAGACCATTATTTGTTATTCTATTTTTGTATGCTTTAGGTGAAAGACTGGAAGTTGATATTACTTTTCATGAAGAAATAAAATGTTCTGAGTTAGAGATATACATTTCCAACAGTAAAACCAGCCTTGTTTTAAGAGTTAAAAATCATGTAAGAATGAAAAAGAAAAAGCAGTCCTGCAGTTCAGTCGTTTGGGAAGAACAGATTGAGATAAAGCCAGCTGCAACTTTACCAGAAAACATCATTTCTTTCAATGTCATTCAGTGGCCATAAAATGCCATCACCATCCCCTCTGAGTAGCACTGCTTTTTCATCAGTGGTGATCCAGATGTCTCTTAACAACACCCTATATTTATTTAATCTCCCCTTCTAATCTGCCTCAGAAACAACAACCTATGTACAATTTATCTCCACTTTTCTCATATCCAGGTCAAAATTCTTCAGCAGGAATCTGAACCTTATGAAAGACATTTATCTCTTACCACTTTCCACAGTTCCTCTTGTGAGCTCTACTGCTACCTTGAGCCAATGTATCCCATATTGGCTTTACACCTAACATATATGTGTGTTCCTGTAATCACTGCATTTGAAATGCATGTACATTGCAATTGCTGATAGATATCTTCACTATTTGGGATTGAATTGTATAGTAATCAATTTTCTCAAAGATTAAAAAGTATGTAATTGTCAGTTTTATGCTTATGTAGATACGAAACTTCTGATTGATTTTTTAGGCATTTCTAGAAATTGAAACAAAAACAAAACTTAGGAAATTATGGATTCACTATTTAAAATAAATGTAAATATAAATTTATATTTAATTGTTTCAATGAGAAAGGCAAACATTTGAATTTTTTAAAAATTGGAAAAACTTTCCTCTTTCTTTTGAATATTGCATTGTCTTATAGTTCTTACAGTCAAAAGAGTCCAGTGATGTTCTATCCAAGTTGACTTAAGTTGTAACCCAAGGTAAAGATGTCCTGCATTTGGGAAAGCAACAGTTTGCACAGACTCAGTGTCATTAGCTCAGCTCAGAAACCTACAGTTGCTCTTCAGGGAATGAAAAAGGATATCTTTCCCTCTATTATTTGTTCATCTTGTGATGTTCCATGCCAAAACTGACAACACAAACCTCCTAGGTTCACTCATTTTGCCACCACACTGATATGCAGCTGCCACCATCATATCTGGAATAAAACAATTATCATATGACCATATTTCTATTGCCAATCACATTATTGATATCTAGTACAAAGTTCCTCTGAATTACGCATAAAATATTAGCACGTAAAACAAAAAATGTTTAAATAATTTTGGTATAGCTCAATATATTACAGTATATACAGGTGCATATTCAAAACTCTACATAACTGAGTTTAAAAAGCAGTAAAAAATAAACAGAATATTATGTTTAAATAAAAGCAATGCTAACACTCAATCAAAACTATTGCCAAAACTTTGTGGGAGGCAAGTTAAGAGTTATGTAAGTTTAACATTACGCGATAACTGTTAGAAATCCACTAATATTCACTTAAAAAGATAGAATAGGATGGCCACATAAAATACTAGATATCCAGTTCAATTTGAATTTCAGATCATTTTTAGCATAAATATATCTTAAATATTCTTATTGTGTGTCTAAAATTCAGTTGAACTAGGCATGTTATATTTTTATTTGATAGATCTGGCAACATTAAAATAGACATGAAAATCAAAAGAAATAAAGGATAAAGGGATTATAAAGTGAACATAAAAATAATCTAGAAATTAGAAAAATTATATAACATAATTAAATCTAAAAGTAATTAACATAAAACCTTCAAAACTCATAATTTGTTTTAAGAAAGACAAATATAAAATTGTATAAGGGAGCAGAAATAACTCAAAGGGAAGTAACAGAAGAAAAAATTATTTGAAATAACCCAATAAATGGTTTAATTTAGCTTTGGTGAAGTCAATATGAAGGCTATATTGACATGTAGATACATAGTTAATGACAGACACTGCAGCCTGGGTGACAAATTGAAACTCCATCTCAAAAACAAAAAAAGACAGAAAAAGACAGAAAAAAACAATGTTATATTAATAAGAGAAAGAAAATATTACAAAATACTACTTTAAAAATTTTAATTATGCCAGTAAGTATAAATTTAAATATAAACAAAATGAAATGCTATGAATAATAATCCATCCTCTCTTAAGTTACCAACTGTTTCATAACTACTCAATGCCCTTAATTTCACTGCAAAATGTATAGAAAACCAACTCATTCTAAATGATCTACAATAGTAAGCTGTATTCCACTTTGCCAAGGGTCATATGAGTTTGAATTTGAAATGCAAAAATGTTACTGTAAAAGTAATGCTTTTATGACACATTAATATTTTAGAAGACTCAACAAACTTGGTAGCTTAAAAAGAATACTTTCATGGGGTAAAAAAATCATACAAAATCTAGTCTGCCCTCAGATTTCTTTACTATGGCTTTTAAGTTCATACTCTTAAGAACCCAAAACATGAACTCTTATACAATTGTAAAACAAAGAAAATTATTGAGGTGAGTCTTAATCAGTTTAGAGGTTTATTTGGCCAAGGCTGAGGACGCGCCTGGGAAAAAGGAACACAAAAACACAGGAACATCTGTAATCCGTGCATTTTCCAAAGAGGGTTTGAGGACTTCAATATTTAATGGGGAAAGAGCAGGCAGTAGAGGAAAGAGAAAAGAAAAACAAGGGGGAGGGTAGATAAAAGAAACAAGCAGGTACATTCTTTTGAGACTTTGATCCGCTTTCATTGAATCCACATTCTATGGAATAGTCAGTAACACATTTATCTCCTCTCATCTCTTGCTCAGTTTGTCAGCATTTCTACATAAGATAAAGTAAACATAGAGTAGAGAAAGCAGTCAAATATTCATTTGCCTTAGTTGAGCAGAAGGATGAGTTCTGGTCCTATCTTTACCTCCTACCTGTGAAGATAAACTGTTAATTTACATTGTCAGATGAAATTCAATAGAACTCTGTTTTAGGATAAAGACCTTGGGGCCCACAAGGTATTTCCTTGTGAGTAAGTTATGAGGGAGTCCCCATAGAGAGGTATGTGGCCTTTTATCTTTGTAGCTATCTATTTAGGGAAAAAAAAATAATGTGAGGCAGTTTTGTGTAACTTGGTTCCCAAACTTAACTTTTCCCCTTGGCATAGCAAGTTTGGAGTCCCAAGATTTTGATTTTACTTTCACATTTCCTCAACATTCTTAAAAATCTTTTAGAGAAAACATTGTAGAGGAAAATGAATCTCTGGTTATGGGTTTTGATCTTATTCAATATCACTAGGATGGTTTATTCCTAGTTGTTCAGGTCCCACATTGCTAGGAAGTCTCATCACAGGAGATGTCCCATGGAGAGGAAAAAACAAAAACAGGTGAAGGAAAGAAAAAGAAAAGGAAACAAACAAAAAGACTGAGGCCAGATTTTTAGCAACAAAGGAAAAGCAATCCTGGAAACTGGTTCATGCCACGCTACCACCTCCTCAATCAGAGCAATCCTTTGGGCCAACATTATGCTAACCTATTCTGGTGTATGCTGACTTTATTATAAACATGGATGGTAACAATATTGTAAGCAAATTATTATTTCTCTTATAAACAATACATTTTGTCATAAATTCCCAGGATCCAAAGCAACCACTCATCCAGTGGATTAGTGAGATTTGGGGATCTGACAGATTGGTTATTTGAGTTTTCATATCGATTCATCTGGGATATTATTTGATTATATTATATTATTTGATTCATGTTATATTATTTGATTCATTTGGGATATAAACACAATATTTAGTTTTTTGATGGTGCAGTTCCTCCCTTGGGCTGCAGCAAGTATGTCTATGGCCGTATAATTTTTCAGCACAGCTTTCCTCATAAGTGATACCTCATTGTTTAGCAAAGAGATACTTATGTGGCAATCATTCAGGGCCTTTGAGGTATGATTTGTTAAGGCCTCTATTGCCATATGACATTCACGATACTTATCTGTGGTATGAAGATAGAAGCTAAGTGGTCATACTATTGAAATACAAAAAGTTTCCAGTGAGATTGTAAATGCAAAGGGTTTGCGTGTTGGCAGAGTTGAAATTACTCATCTTTGTTCCCAAGCATAACCTGGATAACATCATCCTAACCATCCTGGGGAATCCACAGCCATAAGTGAGTGCTAAGAGCCAATATGTCCCATTTGCAGCTAGCCAATAAATACATAGTTGCTTTACCATATTGGTGACATGCCAGTCAGTGTTTGTAATATAATAATGTGGTCACAAAGTTCTCTAGGTAGCCGTTTTATATCTGTTGTACTGCCTGGTCATTGGTCCTTGATATGGTTTCTCTGTTCCCAGCATAAAGGAGAATTTTGACTGAGTTGGCCAAATGAAGGAGTGAGCCACATAAAACCATCCCAAATTGGATTTATCACGTTTTAAAAATAGGCAGTTACCAAGAATGTGGTTATTGCTTCTTCCTTTAGTTCAGGGGACACTAAGGTGAGGGCTAGTGAGCCGGTCCTTTCCACTGAAAAGCTTTTTCCGTGTCCCTTGCTCTTTAGGGTGTTATTAGTGTACTGAGTATACGTATTGTCTTTTGTTATGGCGGCACTAAGAATGCCAAGCTTTTTTTTATGAAATAAGTTGTTGGTATTCTGTTCTGTTCTGACCTTGGAAGAGAGATACCCACCATGGCAGGCCAGAGCCACTGAAAAGAGGCATGAGTTTGCATATCCAGAGGCATTATTTTTATTTATTTATTTATTTATTTTTTGTAATCTGTCTGCATAATCCTGAGCTCATTGTAAAAACAGTTTTGTTTCATAGGCAACAGTGGGCGGCAGTGGTAAGAAGGCATAGGGACAAAGAATAAATAGCAGTGAGATTGTGAAATTCATTTTAACTACTAAAAAAGACATTAAAACAGACCTGACATGTGTCCTGTCCTGCTTCAGATAGTAGCAATTGCCTGTATCCCCAGGAAAATCATTATGATGGCTATAATACAATAAACACAAGTGTTCATTTGTATACAGGCCTGGTCCAGAGTCTTGAGTTAAAGCAGTCCACAACAGATGTAGTCTGCTTCTAGTTCTAGGTCAAAGGCCATAGTTGTTTAGTGAACTGAAGGTGAAGATCCTCAGTAGAAGTCACAGTTCACTTGGAAGCTTGTGCCTTTTTAAGAGGAGAGATATGGATTCATGAGTCTATGCCGTTAATTTTGCCACACATGAATTAGTCAATAGTACCTCATATGAGGCCTTCCACCAGGGCTAGAGAAAGTCTTTATTAAAGGTCTTTTCCAACACAAAAAATCTCCAGGCTATATATTATGACCAGAAACTGTGTCTTTAGGGAGCATACTGTGAATAGAATCTGTTACCAAAACATAGCTTTTTGAAAGATGATGAATAAGTCCTTTACAATATTGCGGTGGATCTCTCTTGAGAAAGGTTGGTTCCATAATTTTAGTTCCCATGCACATGGGCCTTCCTGTTATAATTTTATAAAGGGGTAGTTGATGTTTTCCAAAAGGTGTGAATATGACTGTAAGTAGCACGAGGGAGGTTCTTTGGGCTGGGGGCGGTGAAAAGCCTCTACAAACTTAGCCAATTGTGTTTTAATTATTCTATTGGTCCATTCCACCAGTCTTGAGGACTAGGAGTGATAGGCACAATGGAAAAGTTGAAATATGTGCCAAATATTACAAATATTTTGAATGAGCTGGGCAGTAAAATGAATTACCCTATCACTGAGAAGTTCAGAGGGAACTAACTCCCCAGAGTGGAGTAATTATTTTCTAATAGGATTTTTTTCCAACTGCCATCACTGTTGCTTGGTTGCAGAGAAAAACCTTAATCCAATGGGAAAACATGCAGATTATCAATAAAACACACTTGTAAACTTGAGATGAAGGCAGCTGGATTAAACTGAGCTGCCATACCTCAAAAGGTCCAGCTGGAAGGGGGAAATGACCTTGGGCTCCATGGAGGGGCTTCCTTGGATGATATTTGGGACAAATAACATATCAGGTGTAAACTTTTAGTGCCACTGTGATGGACTGCATCCAATAACATTGTCTATATCAGGATCTTATTTTATCTGAATTCCAATGAGTCAGATTGTGAATATATCCCATAAGAAGCATCTTTCATCCCATTGGAAAAATGGATTTGTTATCAGGTCCACACCATATTTCAGTTTCACGAGAAAAGTATTCTCCTTTTTGTTTCCAAGTAGATTTTTCTTTTGTTGGGGCCATGCTCTTGGTTTCATTTAACATGTTTTCAAGTGTTTGGGGTTTTACGGATACTCCCCAGATTGGGGCTATTGTCTTGAATGCTGCTGCTCTTTTGGTTGTATCACCATTAAATTGATTACCCCAACTTTCAGTTGTGTACAATTTAAAGTGGCCTGGGACTTTTATAATCACCAAAAGTTTTGATTTTAGAATGGCTTCTAACAGCTCTGATACTTATTGTTCATTGTTTATGGGTTTCCATGAGGAGATTTAAATTATCTCCTCTTCCATAGCATCAAAGTTATGGGCAACGGTGAATGCATAGTAGCTGTCAGTGTATATATCTTCACAGTCTTGTTTTTTGTCAATTGACAAGCTCAGGTCAGGGCAATCAATCTGTCCACTTGAGCTGATGTAGCTTGGGAAAGAGGACCAGCTTCAATTTCCTCTAATAAGGAAACCGCATCATATCTCACTCTAAAATGTCTATCCTCCTCTATCAAATAAGATCCAGTTGTATACCAACCAGTGGTATCCCCTGGAGGTCTACCCTGGGGGTCAGAAGTTTGTCAATCATCAGAATACAGTCATGAAGGGTTTCACCAGAAGGGTGAAGAGAGTGGCTGGGTTCGATTATTACAGCAAGAAGTGTTATTATTTGGAGATGATACAAGTAAAGCTGAACATAAACTGTTAATTTACATTGTCAGACTGAAATTTAACAGAACTCTTTTTTAGATTAAACATCTTGGGCCCACAAAAAAATTTCCTCATCAGCAAATTATGAGGGAGGCCTCATGGGGAGTTACATGGCCTTCTGTCTTTATAGTTATCTATTTAGGAAAAAACGGGAAGCACTTTCACATGACTCACTTCCCAAGCTTGAATTTTCCCTTTGGCACAGGGAGTTTAGAGTTCTGAGATTTTTATTTTCCTCTCATAGATGCATTTTAGGGATGAGTTTAATAAGAAAACCTACAAGAAACCACTAACTGGTGATTCTATACTCATAATAAGATAACCAATAAAATACATCTCCAGACTACATAGGAGGTGATGGCTTTGCTCCACCATGAAAAATGATAGTATTCATCTTTGTGTGGTGGGTTTTGAAGTAAGTTTAATGGATTTATTTTTTATATTTTATATGTATTTAATATTTTAAACAATAAACATGGGTTAATTTTCTGTTTCTACAACATGCAGAGATCTTAAGGTTTATTACCCCAAGCTGTATATGCTCAAAGTTTAATAACAATAATAACAGAGCAACAGATTTTCTAGGAACTAAAGTTTACAAAATATAGGGACTCTTCAAGGAAAAGAATAAAAATTAGAAATTAAAGTGACTATTTCCATAAGTTAAAAAAATCAAACACATCACAAATTTTTAAAAGCTGCCAAATGTCACACATATATCCAAAATTAAAATACAAATTACAATACATGTTTACTTCCCTGTTCCAGGTGCATATTCTTTGCCTCTTTAATGATGAAATTTTCTAAAGGAAAATAATGTAGTCTTTCTTTTAACATTGCTGACTGTAATCTTTCCTAATTCAGAATGTTGAGTTTCTTTTATCCTCACAGCTCTTTAGTGTGAAGAAAATTTGGGGGATTATTATCAAAGTTGAGGGAAATTCTACCAATTTTCAGATATGCTGTCAAACCTCAGGGCATTTCAAGTTTTCTTGTGCAACCTTGCATTTATATACTCCCATATTTTTATTACCAGGTACTGTAGGCCACTTTCATATATCTGGCTGTGCTCTTAAATGTCATGGTACCTGATGAGTCATCAAAGCACTTGTTAAGCATGCTGCTGAAAGTCATTTCTCCTCTGGGATGACTGGTAGTAATTAATTGAAGTAGGAGAGAATTCTGAGATAAATTCTGAGAGTCTAGGTTACTGGTGTGTACACCCTGTATAATCTTTTCCCCATATAATCCATATAACATATGGACAGAACTGTGAATATGATAGATATTACTCCCATGATTAGTTTCCATTACATTAAAAAGATGAGGGATTCTATAATGTAATAAAGTTCTAAATCAGTGAACTTTGAGTTGATCAAAAGGTGACCATCTTGGTTTGGCCTGACATAATCAGGTAAACTCTAAAAGGGACTAAGCTCTTTCTGAAGGAAGAGATTCAGAGCATGAGGATGTGAGAAGGCCTACAAAAGAAGCCAACTGGCAAGGAACTTTGAGTGCCCCTAGAAACTGAGAGTGATCCATCACTGACAAGCAAAAACAGAATGGAGGTCTCAGTCCTACAAATGCAAGGAATTGCATTTTGCCTCCCTATAATGCCCATAATCTTGAAAGAGGATCTTTCAGAAAGGAACAGAAAGAAATGCTGCTCAGCCGACACGCTGACTTTAGCTTTGTGTGAAATACAATCATAGAACACAGGTCAACAGTGCACAACTTTCAACTCACATCAATGTTTAGATTAAAAAATAAATCAATATTGTCTTAAATCACTAAGTCTGTAGTAATTTGTAATATAGTGATAGAAACTTAATATAATAACTATACAAAGAAGTTCTATAAAGCCCATAAATATATCCCCCAACTCCAAACTAAACATATTTTAAGTTAATATTTCCTTGGCTTGATCTCAAAAATGTCCACTGCTATGCCAGTCTACCTGACTGTCCACTGCCACGCCAGTGTACCTGACGCAAGAAAAGGAGTGATGGAGAGAAAATGCCAATGGAAAGAGATAGAAGTCTCTGGAGTTAAAACATGAGCTTCTCATGTGCCAAGCACTGAGATTAATATTTTGCCTGTATTATCTAATTTAATAGTTAAATCTAGGAATAAATAATAAGAATCTGAAGGTAAGTTATTTTACTACAGATTTAGTGATCCTAACTGCTACACCACACCTAATCACAATGAGGTCAATTTCTCTACCTTACTGACATACCAGAAATGTCTAGAAAACAAGCATATCATTCAGCATCAAAAAATTTGCACGAACATGTTTTAGGCTGACCTTAAGACTGAGCTTCATTATTTAAGATTAGATTCTATGTGTTTTGAAGACTTAAAGTGAAATAAATAAAATGCTCAATCAAAAGCATTTATTGGCCCCATGCTAGAACAAGACCTAAGACCAATGATGAAAGAGAGATTCCTAAAACTGATTTCCTATTCTAGAAGAAAAGTTCCATAATTCCATCCACTGAATTGTGGGCATTATGAGGATTCAGCTTTGGAAAAGTAGGTTCAGGCAGTGTTGAAATATAGGTTTCCAGCTAAAGAGTAGTAGAAGCACTGGGTCAACATTTTTTCCATATATTAGACCATGGAATCTTCTTTATTAAGACTATTTTCAAAAATGCCCTGAGGCTATAATTTGTATTGCAAGCAAAATATGCATAAAAATATTAATTTTGTCATTCTATAGGATATTATCTGAGCTTAAATTCAATTTTCTCAGAAACCTCAGAACTTGTATTGAGAGTAAGTTCAGAAAATTAACTTTAGAATAAAAGAAAGATATAACTCCCCCTTTTTCCTGTCAAGTAGATTAATGTTACATTTATATCATTTCATTTTTCATGCTGAGAACTGGGATTACACTTCCCAAAAGATAGCTCTCTATGCATCTTTTGTAATTCAGAACAAATTAAGATTTTGAAAAAAAGTCAAAGGTATTGAAGCCATTGTTTTCTTTTCAGAAAATGAAACTAGATAGGACAAGAAAAAATGGGAGTTCACAGAAATAATATTTGTATGTATAAAGTTCTTAAGTAAGAAAAATCCAAATGGGATATAATTCTCAGGAGTTTTAAGCATGAAATATAATCTTTAGGCTGACTATAATTGCCAAAGTATAAAACAAAAACAATTATATAATATGAATAAGAGTGACAGAATCTCTTTGTTATTGAAAGTTATATAATTTAAAAATTAAAAAGAAATCTATATGATTTTGAATTCATTCATTAAAGACAAAATCATGAGAATAACACAATTTGTAATAGACAAAAGTTTCATAGTCTCCTAATTTCATTGCAAAATTGATGAATTGTCTTTTGGATAATTATTTGTACTAGTTGGCTATGCTAATTACCTTATCGTAATAAAATATATAATTGATAATTTAACACAAATATACAGTCAATATTCATTTTTGTCTTGATTTTTAAAATAAATATATATATTTTGCTTAAATTTCCTATGCTCAGTATTGATTGATCACATGGAAGATTTCAAAATACTAGCCCTACCTTCCCTCATTGCATAACTATGAGAACTCATTAATGATTGCATTTTATAAAGCAAGCATATACTCTTTAGTTTACCACAGTCCCTCACCCTTCCACCAGTGGATAGGTACTTAATCACCTTAATCATCTGAATTTCTATTCTTGTCTGGCATACATGCAAACATTATCTTAACGCATCAATAATTTGGGGTTTATCATAAATACATATCCATGCTGCAATTTAGATGTCTTCAATTTATAACAATATAAATGTGTATAAGAAATGCAGACTCTTCATATAAAACAAAGAATACTTTTAACTCATTTATTAGAAAATTATTTTGTATACCTTTTAGAAGCTTACAACCATGTTAACTGAAGATCATGCAACTCACTAAGCATTTCTTAATTTCTATTGGTACAAAATCTCGTTCTTAGTTTTTTGGTATAGCTCCTGATCAGCAGTACCAGAGATTTTTATATACGATTATGAAAAAAAGCAGAATTTGAAAAAATATATAAAATATAATTATCAAGTAGTGGCATGCTTAAAAGTTATAACATTTCTAGAGAAAATAGTATAAGACTTTGTTTAAAAAGTGACACAATCTTTGTCTTGAAACTATAGCAGCAAGAGGCAGACAAATCCTAGGCAGACAAGGGTGGGTCTCCAGTGAACCCTGACCTTCAAGTCGAAGACAATTTAAAGCCAAGCTACAAGTGCCAGGTGAATCCACGGACCAGATTGAATCTCTCTTCCTGTTTGGTGCAATTTCCTTTCATTGATCCCTACCCTTCACCTATTTTACATATACCTACCCTTCCCTAATTGGTTTTTTACATGGTTGTGCCCCTCTTTGAGTGGTGGCTTTGTTTTAGCCTTTTTTGCATACTCACAAACAAATCAGCATGCACTCTTCATTCTGATCCCGTAAAAGCCCCAGACCCAGCCACATGGAGAAAGACCACCAGACTCTGGGTGAGAGACCACCTTCACATCCCCTCTCTGCTGAGAGCTATTTCATCACTCAATAAAATTCTTCTCCACCCTCCTCTCCCTCCAAATATCAGTGTATCCTCATTCTTCTTGGACACAGGACAAGAACTCAGTACCCATCAAATGTGGGTACAAAGAAGGCTGTAATACTGTAGCCCTCTGCCCTCTGCCTGTGGAGGGAAGCTGCCCCATGTGAAGGGAAGCAGCGCTGGGGCCGAGCCAGCCCTAGAGCCACAGGGTGGTGCGGGGAAAAGGCTGACAGAGCTGTTAACACGCCACCATTATCAGGCTGTAGGCAGAGAGACTATAAGAGCTAATTAGGATGCTGCAAAACCCTCTCTAGGGCTTGAGGGTCATGGGCAACCCTGCCTGAGTGCTACCATGTTCCCCTGATCTGGATGCCAGATTCTACCATGGGAGGTGCTTGTGACATGCCTGGTCTAGCCACAAGCCTCACACAGAGCCCGCTCCTGTGACACCTCTTTGAACAGCCAGCTGGACCCCTCACTTGCTCACTAACACACCATCTCCTGCCAGGGGCTGAAGGCACTGCCTCAGCAGCCACAGGATCCTTGCCAGAGTGAAAGCCAGGTGCAGTCCCATGGGACAAGTAGACAAGGCATCTCCTGCAGTGAACCTGGGCTTGAGCAAGGCCTGGGCAGGGGCATCACCAGCTGAAAGTCTCTGGCTGGCAAAGTGACCGAGAGACATTGTGTCAGAAAGATAAGATGGATTTTACTACTGGAGATACGAATAGGTAAGACAAAGGATCACTCTGAGCAAAGGAAAAGAATGCATGTAATTTCTAAATACTTTCAAGAATGGTGAATACAGAAGCTCCTCAAGTTATGATAGGGTTAAGTCCTAATAACTCGTTACAAGTTCAAATATTTTAATAAAAATGTATTTTGCACACCTAACCTACAGAACATCATAGTTTAGCCTAACCTATCTTAAGCATGCTCAGAACACTTACTTTAGAGTATAGTTGGGCAAAATCATCTTAACAGAAAGCTTATTTTATTATAAAGTGTTGAATATCTCATGTAATCTACTGAATACTGTACTGGAGTATAATTTATACTCAAAGCATATTGCTTCACACTATTGTAAATTTAAAAAAACACAAGTCAAAGCATTATAAATTGAGGACTGACTGTATTTGAGTTTGCTATCTTTAAGTAAAATAATAATATGTATCAGAAGACCGAAAAAGTAGATTGAGTCATAACTCAGAGAACATGGCACTTAATTTTTATGTTGTATAAATCAGAATAGGTTCAATTATGTTTCAGTAACTCAAATAAAAAATATGTTTGTTTTGTTTGTTTGTTGTCTTTATGCACAAGTCCCAAATTATTATAGTCTTTGTTTCATGTTATAGTAATTCTGGCAAGTATCATGTCACTCAGGAAAGAGGAAGGACATAGTGAGTCACACACTGATTCTTAAAAGATTCCATCTGGAAGTATTACAGACTATTTCCATTTGTAATTTATTAACCAAATAGGTCATAAGATCATGCCTAACTGTTGAGAGATAATTCTCCTGGATTATCTCACATTTCTGCATAATAAAAAAAAGGCATTTATAGCTAAGTTAAGGACGTTAGCACAATGATATATTAAAGGGTAGTAAACTTTAGAGATGTCTTTCTCTTTGAAGCTATTCCAGGGTAGTAAAGATAAAGATATTTTCTTTTTATTTCTGGAGAAGATTAGCTTACCTTTCAGTGTAAAGATAAGGTCTCTCTCTCTCTCTCCCAGTGGTAAAGATGGGCATATTATTAATAACCCTATACAAGATCAGAATCTCCTAAACTAAAAGAGTTTCTCTTGTACAGTCCAATGCACGTGCAAATACAATCTAGCCCTCACCATATTATATTGTATGAATTGGGGCTTGGGAACAGAGACTATGATACTATTCTGGCTTCTGCAGCTTTTTCCATTAGGAACAAACTGTTTTTGTCTCTGATCCAGAGGCCTCAGATTTTCTGTTAGCATATAGATATAAAACTCCGCAGGCAGGCTAACTTGTTATCTTGCAAATAGAGTAAAATCTCAGAACCAACAGTTTCCACCTTTTTATCTTTTTAAATAAATTGAGATAGGATCTCACCATATTCCCCAGAGTGGTCTCAAACTCCTGGGCTCAGGCAATCCTCCCATAGTGTTGGGATTACAGGCGTGAGTTTCCACACCCAGCCTAAACCTTCAGTTTCTGAACTAACACCAACTTGAAAGAGTCAGTGAAGTACAATTTTAACATGTACCTAGAAAGAAGAGATCTGGGAATAGCAGCAAACCACTGAGATGACTCTAACACATGGTAAATAAACTAGGGATGATTTCTTCAATCTATTGGTTTCTCACTATTTCAAAGGAGGCATCTTGTTTATAGCAACCCTGTTCTTATATTTAATAGTCTGCTTAGACCCAGATCACCTTAAAAGTTCTGAGTCCTATCCCTTAATGAATCCTATATATCACAAATACAAAAATTCAAGTCTTTAAAGAAAATCTGGAGAGTTCTGTCATTATGATGTAGTGCTCAGCATTACCACTACACAAACTAATAAACATAACTTCTGTTCTTGGACTAAAAACATTCAGGTCCCAAGATAACACTTGTCTACATCTCTTTTCCTTGAAACCAATGTTATTATATCTGAGTGCTATGAATATGGCTGGGATCTGCTGCTATGAATGTTAGAAATAAACACTGCTTTAGGGTATGGGAAGGATTTGTAGCAAAAGGGCCTATGTAAATGTGGTAGGCATTTGCCATGACAGACTCATGACAAAAGATATTTTGTAGGTGTAATTACAAAATCCTGGACATGGGGAGATTATGCTGGATGACCTAGGTGTGCCCACACTAATCACATGAGTCTCTGAAAGCAGAGCCCTTTCCCAGATGGGATCAAAGAGAAAGATATCTGTGGTGAAAGGGTTAGAGAAATGAAACAATGTGGCTTTCTGAGATGGAGGAAGGAGACAATGAACCACCAATAGTCCTGGAAAAGAGAAAAGGCAAGGAAGTGGATTCTCCACCAATACCTCTTGAAAGAAACAAAGCCCTGTTCAATCTATGTTGGATTTCTGACCTACAGAACTGTGTAGGTCAGATAATAAATTTGCTTTGAAGCCTTTAAGTTTGTAGCAATTATTAGAGCAACAATAGAAAACCAAAGCAGTAAGAGAAAAGGCAGATGAATTAATTTGTCACATCTTACCTCTAGAATAGCATGGATGCAACTGATTCTTATATAACAGAGTGTCACTTCTTATTTGTGCTGAACACCCATTTTGTTGTTTCTCTTCCAGTTTCAATTTCTGGTTTAGTAGCATATGAAACAACTGTGTCACAGGGGTTTGAACCAGAGCAACTCCATCTTGAATAGGGGATGGGTAAAATAAGGCGGAGACCTACTGGACTGCATTTCCAGATGGTGAAGGCATTCTAATTCACAGGATGAGACAGGAATTTGGCACAAAATACAGGCCATAAGGACCTTGCTAATAAAAAAAGTTGAAGTACAGAAGCCAGCTAAAAACCACCAAAATCAAGATGGGGATGAAAGTGCCCTCTGGTTGTCCTTACTGCTACATTCCCACCAGCGTTATAACAGTTTACAAATGCCATGACAACATCACGAGGTTACCCTATATGGTAACTACATGGTGGATAAATAATCCACCCTTTGTTTCACATATAATCAAGAAATAACCTTAAAAATGGG
Organism: Homo sapiens; assembly: GCF_000001405.40. Lineage (NCBI taxonomy): Eukaryota > Metazoa > Chordata > Mammalia > Primates > Hominidae > Homo > Homo sapiens. The sequence goes on along the minus strand of NC_000003.12, from coordinate 162,762,589 downwards.
CAACCAGCAGTCCTTGGAGCTGCTCTGCCTATGTGGTAGCCATTCTTTTATTCCTTCACTTTCTTAACAAATTTGCTTTCACTTTCCTCTGTGGGCCCACCCAAATTATTTATTGCATGAGATCCTAGAACCCTCTCTTCCAGTCTGGATCAGGACTGCTTTTTAGTAACAATTGTACATCAAAGCTAAAGAATATTTTGTGGTGATAAAACGTTAGAGTAACTTCAAATGTCTTGAATAGACCTAAGTGTGACATTCATATGTGTGATACCAATATTTTGCATAGGATGCTAGATGTATTTGAATACTAAAACTGTGAACATATTTTTAGTATCTAATACAATTTGATTGTAGTAAAATAAATGATTTCATATTTATTCAAAATATAATTAGAATTTTTATATTTATCAATTATGATTTATAGTTTTCACTTTAGTGCAGAAAATCTTCTCATTAAGAGACTCCAAAGAATGCACAAAACTAAATTCAGAATTTGGTAATTTGCTAAATTTTAATTGTATAAAAGCAGCTTTACATATGTTTTCATTTTTTTCTTTATGAAATCGTAACTGTCAAGTAGGATGATAGAATCTGTTATATTTAATAGCTTATTAGGTTAATTTACATCTTTGATATGTATGCATATGGTAAATGCACATCCTTTTGTATGTCTGTTCAATCCTTGCAGATATTAAAGGGATGCCTATGTTAACTATTGCTAAATTTGTAAGTAGTTCCCATGAACCACACATGCCATGCCTGACCTTGTTAACAACTGCTTTTATTACTCTCACTTTAGATTTTGTATTAATTTTTAATGTTGGAACTTCATCTCTCAAGATGATTTGCAATTTAAAATAAATTCAACAAGAAATCTAGAGGCATCAAATTATCAGACTTTAAAATACATTACAGGGCTACAATAACCAAAACATAGTGGTACTGATACAAAAATACACACATAGATTAATGTAACATAATAGAGAACCCAGAAATAATGCCACACACCTACAACCATCTGATCTTTGACAATGTCAACAAAAACAAGCAATGGCGAAAGGACTCCAGATTCAATAAATGATGCTGTGATAAGAGGCTAGTAATACGCCAAAGACTAAAATTGGATCCCTTTCTTATACCATATGCAAAAATTAACTGAAAATGGATCAAAGATTCAAATGTAAAACCTAAAACTATAAAAATTCTAAAAGATAACATAGGAAATACCATTCTGGACATAGGACCTAGCAAAGATTTCATGACAAAGATGCCAAAAGCAATTCCAGCAAAAACAAAAATTGACAAATAGGATATAATTAAAATAAGAGGTTCTGCACAGCAAAAGACTACAGAATGGGAGAAAATATTTGCAAACTATGCACCCAATAGAGGTTTAATATGCAAAATCTGTAAGGAACTTAAGCAAATTTACAAGTAAAAAACAAACAACTTAATTAAAAAGTAGGCAAAGGATATGAACAGACACTTCTCAAAAAAAGAGATACATGCAGCCCACGAGCATATGAAAATATGCTCAACATCACTAATCATTAGAGAAATGCAAATCAAAAATGAGATAATATCTCATACCAGTCAGAATGGTTATTACTAAAGAGTAAAAAAGTAACAGATGCTACAAGGTTGAAGAGAAAAGGGAACACTTACACACTGTTGGCGGGAATGTAAATTAGATCAGCCATGTGGAAAGCAGTTTGGCAATTTCTCAAAGAAATTAAAACAGAATTATCATTTGACCCAGCAATCCCATTGGGTATATACCTAAAGGAATATAAATCATTCTACCATAAAGACACATGCATGTGTGTGTTCACCACAGCACTGTTCACAATAGCAAAGCCATAGAATCTACCTGGATGCCCATCAATGGTAGACTGGATAAAGAAAACGTGGTATATATGCACCACGAATACTATGCAGCCATATAAAGAATGAGATTATGTTCTCTGCAGGAACATGAATGGAGCTGGATGACATTATCCTAAGGTAACTATCACAGAAACAGAAAACCAAATACCACATGTTCTTATATATAAGTCCAAGCTAAACATTGAGTACCTAAGGACACAAAGAAGGGAAAAACAGTCACCAGGACCTATTTGAAGGTGGAGGGTAGGAGGGTGAAGATAAAAAAAAAACTATTGGGTTCTGTGCTTATTTCCTAGGAGTCAAAATAATCTGTACACAAAATCCTTACAACACACAATTCACCTATATAATAAACCTGCATATTTATCCTTGAATCTAACATAAAAGTTACAAAAAATAAAATAATACAAAATGTATTAGCTTTTGAACAAAAGTTATTGTTTATATTAGAGGTATAGAAACAAATTAATTCAGAAAGAATTATAGTCATGAGTAGCTTAATGATGGGTATCCAGTCTGATAAATGAATGTGTCATTTCATCATTGTGCATACATCATAGAGTGCACTTACACAAACTTTACTCCATACCTAGGCTATATGGTTTAATCTATTGTTCTTTGGCTACAGACTTGTACAGCATGCTGCTCTCCTAAATACTGTGGTCAATTGTGGCACAATAGTAAGCATTTGTGTATGTAAACATAGAAAAGTTATAGTAAAAATATGGTATTAAAAATTAAAAATGGTATACCTGTATAAGGCATTTATCAGAATGGAGCTTGCAGAACTGGAAGTTTCCCGGAGTTGAGACAATGAGTGAGTGGTGACTGAATGTGAAGGACTAGTACATTACTGTACAGTGTTGTAAACTTTATGAACACTGTACAATTAGGCTAGACCAAATATATAAAAAGCATTTTTCTTTCTTCAATAATAACATTTTCTTACTGACACTTTTTTGCTTTCGAAACTTTGTATTTTTTTAAACTTTTTTTTTTTTTTTTTTTTTTTTTTTGAGACGGAGTCTCACTCTGTCACCCAGGCTGGAATGCAATGGTGAGCTCTCGGCTCACTGCAACTTCCGCCTCCCAGGTTCAAGTGATTCTCCTGCCTCAGCTTGCCGAGTATCTGGGATTACAGGCACCCACCACCATGACCAGCTAATTTTTGTATTTTTAATAGAGACGGCGTTTCGCCATTTTGTGCAGGTTGGTTTTGAACTCCCGACCTCAGGTGATCCGCCCGCCTAGGCCTCCCAAAGTACTGGGATTACAGGCTTGTAATAACACTTAGTTTAAAAATAAGCATATTGTACAGCTGTATATAAAAATATCTTTCTTTGTAAGCTTTTGTCTTCCGTTTAAAAAATGTATTTATTCATTTATTTTACTTTCTAGTTTTTTTTTGTTACAAACTAAGACACACACATATGCTCAGGACTACAAAGGATTGAGATCATCAATATCACTGTCTTTCATCTCCACATTTTGTCCCACTGGGAGTTCTGCAGGGGCAATAACATGCATGGAGCTATCATCGCCTATTATAATAGTATCTACTTCTAGAATACCTCCTGAAGTACCACCACAAAGATGTGAATAATATGTTGCAATATCATATTAGAACTGGGCGATAGAAATTTTTCAATACCATTATAATCTTATGGGACTACTATCATATGTGCATGTTGGCCAAAATGTCATTATGGAGTGGATAACTGTAAATATGTGCGAAGCAAAGATTTATTATTGAAGATATGACCACTATTGTTTTCAAAACAACTAAGTATTTTATGAGACCTAAGAAATAAAAATTTCCACAGATAGATAAATATGTGATTTAGTTTGTTACTACAATACATCTGACTCAGAATGTAAAATAAGTAAATAAAATATACTAAGAAAATTATTTATTTACATACGCAAAAGTTTTATAAGTAAAACAAATCTGTATTTATATAAATTTAACATCCTTCAATAAGTGTGAAATAATACTTCTGCATGATGCAAAATTATTGGGTAATTTAAATTGTGCTATTTATTTTTGTTGTTATTCCTTAGAGGTTTATTAAATAACAAAACCTCAAAATCAGTGGCATGCTAGATTAGGTGAAGTATGATAAATCATAACTAAAGACAGTTATTTTAGGAATGTAAGGATGCTTTAGTGTAGAAAATTAATGCAATGCACCATTTTAATCGGTTGAAGAAGAAAGCTCTGAAGAGCATACAAATAAATATAGAAAAGACATGGCAAATTTTATCCCTTTTTTTTTTTTTTTTTTTTTTTTGAGACGGAGTCTGGCTCTGTCGCCCAGGCTGGAGTGCAGTGGCGAGATCTCAGCTCACTGCAAGCTCCGCACCCCGGGTTCAAGCCATTCTCCTGCCTCAGCCTCCCTAGTAGCTGGGACAACAGGCGCCCGCCATCACGCCTGGCTAATCTTTTGTATTTTTAGTAGAGATGGGGTTTCACTGTGTTAGCCAGGATGGTCTCGATCTCCTGACCTCGTGATCCACCCACCTCGGCCTCCCAACCACGCCCGGTCATCACTCTTTAATTATACACACTTAGCAAAATGTGCACATACACAATGCTTCATAATCTTATATGAAACGTCTTCTAAAATCATGGGAAACTATTTTAATAATTGGAAGCTTTCTAGAATTCATTCATTATGTCAGAGAAAAGATCAGAAGCTCCGCTAGCACTATTATTTTTCAACATTGGTAGCAGATTCAGAGTTCGTGACCATCTTTGATCTGCAACAAACTACAATAACCACCTCAAACTAGAAGTAGTTAACTAAATTAACATGATACGATAATATTTATCCACCATTTTATTGGACAGAGTTTTAACTCTAAAAAATAGCAAATGTTAGTGAAAAGGAAGAAGAAAAAAAAATCTTATACACTATTGAATGAGTGAACACAGATACAACCTTTTCAAGAGCAGTATCTATAATATCTAGTAAAGGTGAAAATGTTCAAACACCATGGCTTAGTATTTCCTCTTCTATGTGCGCAACCTTGAGGAACTCACAAACGTGCTTCAATAAATTTGCACAAGAAGTTCATAACATCATGTTTTGTTCATAGTAGCAAAAATATGAAAACTGCTCAATTGATTTCCTCCCAGCAAAGCAAAATTGGAAAGGAAAGAGGAAATGGGGCCTCATTTGTATGTTTTATATTGAATTTTTGGTTTTGTTTCTTAAAGATCTAAAACAAATAAGGCATAATGTTAAGATTTACTGAAGTGTGGCCAATTTTTAAATGTTTGTGTCCATGATATTATTGTCTCATTTTCAATGAATAAAAATTATTTCAAAAATTCAATGAAGAGCGCCTAGAATAAATTTTAAGTTATACAGGGTATTATGATTTAGAGCTATTGTAAGGGAGAAAAAATATTCACATGTATTAATAGTGTTTAAAATAATTTTCATTTGAGAAATTTTGTTTATAAAACATTTAATTTGGACTTTAATTAAAACCTTCATCATAGATTAGACAAGATAGAAAAAATAAACCTTAATTTTATGTTTGATTTGTCTGTAACTATTATATAAATATATTTTTACACACTAATATACAAACTGAAATAGCTAAGTTTCAGTTTATCATTATGAAATTTGGTAAAATATTTACATGAAGTTAATAATTTATATTGTGAATTTACTTTACTATAGTCTATTATTTTATAATTTAAAGTGGTATGATCATAAATGATGTAAAGATTGTTTAAATATTTGTAGTTATAACACTTAAACGGGTGTTAGTATATTATTTTGCAGATATAAATTCAGTATTATTTTAAAATCTGTTATTTAGTTTTTAAGTAAAAGATCTTTTCTTTGTTATCTTTATGTCATTGATTTTCAATGCCTTCATCTGGTGTATAGAACAAGTAGTCTGGATGTCCCTATGCCTTAGTGTATTGTGCAGATTTTCTCTTTGGATTAATAGGTTAAAATTTGACAAAACATTTCCTATGTGCTTTAGGAAGCATACGTTATTTCAGGTTGTGAAATCATTTTTTATACATGTATATTATGGCAGTCATAAATGATTTCTTTAAATGTATGCTTTATTGAATTTTCATGTTTGAGCTGTCATTTACTGAGAGAATTGTTTTAAACTCATAATATGCTAGTAGACTTATTAATTCCTTCTTATAGTTCTACTAATATTTGTGTTTTATATTTGAAGTTACTTTATGAGGGAAATATATTTTGAATTGTTATGTCATCCTGGCTAATAAAAATTCTATCATTATGTAGTGGTTTTTTTCTTATAATGATTTCCCTTGAAGTATTTTTGTCTGATACCAACATTTTGTTAACAGTTGATATTTGGTTAAAAATTCCACAACTTTTCCACCATTTGACTTCAAATATTTGCTATGTTTTTATGTTTTATGTTTGTATCTTGCAAACAGCATATAGTTGACAATTTTTAATTATTATCTGGAGAGTTTAGACATATATATTTACTGATTATATTTAGATTAATTTTTATTGTGTTATTTGTGCTCTTTTCCCTCTTTTTCTCTTATTTTGTTTTTAGTCAATTTCTGAATTGAATTTTGATTCCACACTACCTTCACTGTTTGGAAAATTATACACTGCTTTTCTATTTTTCCTGTTGCTATGTTATAAATTTAAATACACATATTTAGGGTAATGAATCTAAAGTTAGTTCACCCCCTAAAAAATAGTAAATAAATTGCTATTATGTCTGGCATCTCACTTCTCAACTAACTCAATAAACCCTTCTGGTTTATTATTTTAATTTTGTTTTAAATTTACTAAGTGTGATTTATCTTTTAAATTTTATTTTGATTTGATTTTTCAGAGACTAAGTGTCATTCTGTTGCCTAGACTGGAGTGCAGTGGCACCATAACAGCTCATTGCAACCTCAAACTACTGGGCTCAAGTGATCCTCCTGTCACAACTTCCTGAGTAGCTGGGACTATAATCACCCACCATCTTGCCTGGCTAATTCTTTTTTAGGGTTCTCACTGTGTTTTCTAGGCTGCTCTTGAATTGCTGAGCTCAAGAGATCCTTCCACATCGGCCTCCCAAAGTGCAGGGATTACAGGCGTGAGCCACTGTACCTGACCACCAACTATGATTTATTACTACTGTTCTGTAAATGTCAGGCTCATCTATCTTTTCTCATGTTTACCATTTTATTTTGCATGTCATTTCTTCCTGCAAGTCAATCCTTCTTTTGTAGGTCATTTACCATCTTCCTGAAATACATCTTGCAAAAGTAATTTTATCAAGTGTCTCCTGATAGTATTCTCAATGATGTATCCATAGTTTTTGACTGAAACATTCCATTGAAAAAAAAATAGTTTTATGGGATTTAGATTTCTGGAGTATAATATTTTAAGCATTTTAAATAAATAATTTCATTATCTTCAGCTTCCGTTCTGTCAAAATAAGAATTATCAAATTGCCATTCTTTTCTTTCTGCAAATTTAGAATTCTTATTTTTTTTTTCTCTGGAGTTCTAAAATTTCAATGAATCCACAACATAGATTTTTAGTATTTATTTTCCTCAAGATTCACAGTGATTTCCAAACACAAAACTGCCATATTGTCATTCATCAATTGGGAACATTTTTTAAATGTGATCTCTTCAAATATTCTACTTCTTATCTCCTTATTTTCATCTCTTCTGGTAATTTCTTTAGGGTTATGATAGACATTTTCCCCCTTTTTCATTCTTCATAACCCTTAACTACCATGTTATAAGTTCTGCCTCTTTATTTTACTCTGCTGCATTCATATAATAATCTAACTCTTAATTCTTATTCAATAATTTGATATTTGGCTGGGTCTAGTCTTCTGTTTAAATAATTTAGTTGTCACATTGAATAATATTTTCTTTTCTAGAAATTAAATTTGTTTTTTATACAGATCTATCTGGTCACTTTCTATTGATAAATTTTTCTTTATCCTATTTTCAATATCTTTTTTATTTTTTAATGTAAATATATTCATTACATTATGTTGAAATATATGATCTTGAAATTTGGAAATAAGAAACTTGAAACATTTCCATTCAACTAAATATACTATGTATCTGATAAATCCAATAACCGCTCTTAATTTTGAAGACTGTGACTTAAGGCTCTTTGCCTTCTTCTGTGTTTTGATTTTTTTTCTCCTTTTTAAAAAATTTTAAATTTATAAAAATTATTTTATTTTATGTTTTCTGAGGTGGGGTCTTGCTATTTTGCCCAGGCTGGTCTTGAATGCCTGGCCTCAAGTGACCCTCCCACCTTGGTCTCCCAGAGTGCTGGGATTATAGGTGTGAGCCACCACAGCAGGACTTTTTCTCCTTTTTTGTGAATGTATCCTTTGAATATTTTCTGTGGGCACACTTGAAGCCTGATTTGTGATTGTGTATTTTAACAGAGAATTTAATTTTGCTTCTACCAAAAAGGTATGGCTCTACAAACTCAGAATTATTTTCAACTTTACTGTAAACCTGAGCTTTTTTTTTTTTTTTAATAAAAAATATATCTTAGGGAGCTGGGCACAGTGGCTCATGCCTATAATCCCAGCACTTTGAGAGGCTGAGGCAGGTGGATTGCTTGAGCTCAGGAGTTGGGCAACATAGTGAAAACCCATCTCTACAAGAAATCAAAATTTAGCTGGATGTGGCGGCCTTACCCTATAGTCCTAGCTACTTGGGGGGTTGAGGCAGAAGGATCACTTGAACCTGGAAGGACGAGGCTGCAGTGAGCCGAGATCGCGCCACTGCACTTCACCTGAGTGTCAAAGTGAGATCCTGTCTCAAAAAAATAAAAATAAAAATAAAAATAAAAATATATATATATATATTTGCATCTTAGGATAGTTTTAGATTCACAGAAAATGTTATAAATATAGAAAAGATAGGTCCCATATGCCGTACCCAGTATCTCCATTTATTAAAATCTTACATTATTATGGTGCATTTGTAACAACTAAGAAACCAACGTTGGTATATTAATCTCCAAACTTTATTCACATTTCACTAGCTTCATCACCACTGTTCATTTTTTGTTCAGGATCCTGTTCTAAATGCCATGCTACATTTAACCATCATGCCTCCTCAGTCTCCTCTGCTCTGTGACAGCTTTTCAGGCTTTCCTTGCTTTTCATGATCTTGGCAGTTTTCTTTAAGAGTATTGGTCAGGCATTTTGTAGAATATTCATCAATTTGGGTTTGTTTGATGATTTTCTCATGGTTACACTGAGCTAATAGGTTTTAGCGAAAGTGACCACAGTGGTACAACACCCTTCTCACATTTTGTCATAGGCTCTGATATATGTTGTCTTTGATATGTCCTATCAGGTGTTTTGATTTTAAATTACTTCACAAGCAGTGTCAGTTTAAGCCTCAAATCTATGTAATTTTAGGTGATTGTCATTATGAATTCTTATGTGAGCTTTCATTTTTATTTTTTTGTCTCTATTTCAGGTGTAAAGGTAGACAAAAATGTAACTCCAAGGTAGAATCTATCTATTTTCATAACTTAAATAAAAATGGAGGAAAATTTATTTAAACAATGTTTCTTTGAAAACTTTGAAATTAACATTAGATTTTAGTATATAAATTTTATGTTGAAAGTTTTCAGATGTACTGTTAACTGTCCAGTGGGTTCCGCTTGTCACTCCCTATACAGAGCCAATCTATCAAGACTGGGGAATTGCAATAGAGAAAGAGTAATTTACACAGAGCCAGCTCTGTGGGTGACTGGGAATTTTGTTATTACCCAAATCAATCTCCCCAAGCATTTAGGGATCAGAGTTTTTAAGGATAATTTGGTGGATAGGGGGCCAGTAAGTTGGGACTTCTGATTGGTTGGGTTGGAGATGAAATCATAGGAAGTTGCAGCCATCCTCTTGAGGGCCACAAGACCAAATGAGCCAATTCATCAATCCAGGTGGTATCAGCTGATCCATTGAGTGCAGGGTCTGAAAAATATCTCAAACACTGATCTTAGGTTTTACAATAGTAATGTTATCCCCAAAAGCAATTTGGGGAGGTACAGAGTCTTGCAACCTCCAGCTCCATTACCCCTAAACCATAATTTCTAATCTTGTGGATAATTTGTTAGTCCTGCAAAGGCAGTCTAGTCCCCAGGAAGGAGGTTTACTTTGGGAAAGGGCCATTGTCGTCTTTAGTTCAAAGCTAAAACATAAACCAAGTTCCTCCTAGAGTTAGTTTGGCCTACACCCAGGAAAGAACAAGGACAGTTTGGAGATTAGAAACAAGATGGAGTCAGTTAAGTCAGGTGTCTTTCACTGTAATAATTGTCTCAGTTATAATGTTTGCAAAGATGGGTTCAATACTCATTAGTATAGTTTTCTTAATCATTATATTTGACTTTGTGTTGGTCCGTTTTGTTTCTCACTAGTTATGTGAGCAAAAGTTAAGGCTTACCTGTAAGCTGGAGTCTTCTCACCTGGCCACGATCATGGTGAGAATAAAGTGTAATAACATATTTTTTAGCACAGTGCCGACATACTATAAGTGTGCAATATATGCTTCCAATTATTATTATTAGCAATATTATTATCATTAAGGGTAGCAAAGTTCAAACTGATGAAGAAAACATAACAGCTTTGTACTGGAACCAAGGATTAAAATAATCAATTTAATTGTCTATTGTGATATTTAGGATATATACCATTGCTTAAAAGCAATATATTCTATGCAGGATAAATACTTAGGATCAAATTAGACAGCAATCTATCTAAAAAAACATTTAATTTCTCTTTGTTTAATGTTTCTGAATAATTTCTTGCTAAGGCAGTTTGTAAATTTGTCTTTGTACAAATGTGTTGTTAGTGTAACATAATTAAACTTTTGTCAAATGGTAAAAATAATTGATCAGGAAGATGAAAAAACATACAGCTATGGCCACAATTTAGTCTGGCACTATACATTTTAAAAATGCACCCATGTAATCATTGCTGTATTTCCAAATATTTTTAACTTGTTATTATGCATATGTTAGAGATGCAAAAATATTTTCTAGGTGTGATTAATGACCTATGACTATTCCTGAGGTCTTTCTTTTTCCATTTATAGCTTCTATACCAGCAAAAAGTGAGGAATGAAAAATAACCTCATTATCTTTATGCAATTGCAATCACTGGGTTTTCCTACGGCCTTTTCCATCAAGTTTTCATCAAATATCTATTTCTCCTTGCTGAATATCTATAGGTATTTCATGAAAAACTAGATGTTTTAAGTTCATTCTTACACTCATAGACTTTATGAAAAAATTTTTTCAAGAAGTATCATCATTGTATAAAGAAATTAGATTACTAACATCGAATTGAAAATAAATGTTACAATAAAACACCAAACAGTTGAACTAATCATTTGTCAGTATAAGATAAAGCTCAACATAGTTATTCAAAAAATATAATGAAGCATGGTTTATTATGTATTTTGGTTCTAGTTATAGTTATTAATGTTATAATAAAAATTAAAAATAGAAGAGCTAAATATGAGATCACTTGGTTTGATTATTACATATCAATATGCTGGGAATTAATCAAACTTCTAGTAGCGTGATTATATTCAAAGTGGAAGCTACCTTTCATCCTTACCTTGTTTTCTTAGTATTTACCGTGTTCCACTTCCAAAATCATAATCTAAAAATAGTCTTAGAAATAAGAACAGTTTAACTGAATGTTCTTTATAGTAAATAACTTTTTGTCCCCTATTTTGAGGAGAGCCATAAGCATTAACTTAGAAGTTTGAGTATGAATTATTATTATTATTTGAGAAGGAGTCTCACTCTGTCACCCAGGCTGGAGTGCATTGGCAAAATCTCTGCTCACTACAACCTCTGCCTCCCAGGTTCAAGTGATTCTCCTGCCTCAGCCTCCAAAGTAGCTGGGATTACAGACTCCTGCCACCATGCCTGGCTAATTTTCATATTTTAGTAGAGATGGTTTCGCCATGTTGGCCAGGCTGGTCTCAAAATCCTGACCTCAGGTGATGCACCTGCCTAGGCCTCCCAAAGTGCTGGCATTACTAGCGTGACAGTATGAATTCTTAAAAACAGCTTCACTTAGTCTGACTCTTTATATTTTATATATTTAATGTTATAAACAAGTCAAATACTAGGATACATAAGGGGTTATCCCTGATTAAATAAAAGGTATTCATGCTTATAATTATTTCTAGTAACAAAGAAAATGTTTAAAGATTGGTTAACATATAATATTTTCTATCTACATACAAACTTAAAATGATCAAGAGGAAGTTTGGGGGTTGAGAAAGCATCCAAATAGAAAGAATTAAATTCCTATGGCTTTCTTTGAGCACTCTTTCCTTGCCACATAAACTCGCATGCACTTCCTTTGATTTGGTGGCCATGATTTATCCAAGAGAAAATCATTGGTGTATCTGTTTCTTGAAGCTAAGCATTATCTGTTTTATCTCATAGAAAGTGACCTCAATATAAAATATCTGACCTAAGCAAAGGGGATTTACATCTCCTTTCCTTCGATCATACCTAAAAGAATAGGTATAGTTAACCAAAGTTTGAACAGCCCTGTGGCTATTGATGATTCCATAGTGGCCACACATTTCCATTTTAAAGAGATCAAGAGTCAACACCAGAACTGTCCTACAAGAAACGTTAAAGAGAGTTCTTCATTCTGAAAGAAAAGGACTTCAATGAGTAATAAGAAATTATATGAAGGTAAAAACCTCACTGGTAACAGTAAGTACACTGACGAATATAGAATATTATAACACTGTAATTGTGATGTGTAAATTACTTATATCTTGAGTGGGAAGACTAAAAGGCAAACCTATCAAAAAAAATAACTACAACAACTTTTTAAGACATAGATGGTGTAATAATATATGAATAGAAACAACAAAAAGTCAAAAAATAGGAAGATGATGTTAAAGTTTAGAGTTTTTATTAGTTTTCTTTTTTCTTGTTAGCTAATTTGTATAATCAGAGTTAAGTTGTATGTTTAAAATAACAAGTTTTGTCATTTGCAAGCCTCAGGCTAACCTCAAATCATAAAACCTACGATAGATACACACACACACACACACACACACACACACACAAAATGAAGCAAGAAATTAAAACATACCACCTGAGAAAATCACTTTCACAGAAAGGAAGACAGGGAACAAGGAAGAAACACAAGACCACAAAACAACCAGAAAACAAATAACAAAATGGTAGAAGTTAAGTTCTTACTTATCAATAATACATTGAATGTAAATGAACTAAATTATGCAATCAAAGGAGACAGAGTGGCTGAATGGATAAAGAAAATAAGACCCAACAATCTGTTGCCTACAAATGCATGTCAACTATAAAGACACAAATAAACTGAAAAAAAGGATGGAAAAAGGTATCTCATGCAAATGGAAAGTAAAAAAGTTATGGGAGTAGATATACTTATGTAAGCAAAAGTAGATTTCAAGAAAAAATTATAAAAAGAGACAAAAAAGGTCATTGTCATGGTAAAAAAAATCAGTTCAGCAAGAGAACATAACAAGTGTAAAGATATATGTACTCCACACTGAAGTACCCAGATACATAAAACAAATATTACTGAAACAAAAGAGAACACGATACAATAATAGCTGGAGACTTCAACACCCCACTTTCAGCATTGGACAGATTATCCAGAAATAAAATCACCAAAGTGACAAAGATCTAATCTGCACTATAGATCAAATGGACCTAATAGATATCTACAAAACATTTCATCCAACAGCAGAATACACATTCTTTTCTTCAACACATGGATCATTATCAAGTATAGACCATATGTTAGTCCACAAAACAAGTCTTAAAAAATTAAAAGTCTATCAAATATTTTCTCTGACCACAACAGAATGAAACTAGAAATGAATAACAAAAATTTGGGAATATACAAACACATAAAAATTAAACAATATGCTATTGAATGACCAGTGAGTCAAGTAAAAAATTTAAAAGAAAATGAAATAATTTCTTAAAACAAGTTAAAATGAAAACATAACATACCAAAACCTATTGGATACAGCAAAAGCAGTACTCAGGGGAAAGTTAATAGCTACAAGTGCCTACATTAAAAAAGCAGAAAAACTTGAAACAAACAATTTAATAATTCATCTTATAGAACTGGAAAAGCAAAAGAAAATCAAACCCAAAATTAGTAGAATAAAATAAATGATAAAGTCATAGCAGAAATAAAGTTGAAATGAAAACAATACAAAATATTTTTGTAACTAAAAGTTGCTTTTTATGCAAAGTAAGTACAATTGACAAATTTTTAGCCAGAATATGAAAAAGGAGAGATTTAAATGAAATCAGAGATGAAAAAGGATACATGAAAACTAATATCTTAGAAATTTGAAGGATCATTAGAAACTACTCTGAGCAACTATATGCCAATAACTTAGGAAACTTAGAAGGAATGGAAAAATTTCTATTCACATATAAGCTACCAAGATTAAACCATGAAGAAATCCAAAACCTGAATAGACCAATAGCAAGTAACAAAATAAAAGCCACAGTAAAGTCTCCCAGCAAAGAAAAGTCCTGGAACTGATGGCTTCATTGCTGAATTCTACCAAACATTTAAAGAAGTAATAGCAATCCTACTTAAACTATTTCAGAAAATAGAGGAGGAGGGAATACTTTCAAACAAATTATATGAGCACAGAATTAACCTGAAACAAAACCAAAGACACCTCAAAAAAAAAACAAAACTACAGGCCAATATCCCTGATGAACACTGATGCAAAAATACTCAACGGAATACTAGCAAACTGAATTTCATTAACACATTATAAAGATTATTCCTCATGACCAAGTCAGATTCATCCCAGAAATGCAAGGATGGTTCAATGTATGCAAATCAATCAATGTGATATATCATATCAACAGAATAAAGGGAAAAACTATGGCCATTTCAATTGATGCTGAAAAAATCACTTTGTAAAATTCAGTGTTTCTTCATGATTTAAGAAAAAAAAACTCAAAAAACTGGCTATACAAGGAACATACCTTAATGTATTAAAAGTCATGTATGAGAGACCCACAGTTATTATCATACCAAATGGAGAAAAACTGAAAGTCTTTTCTCTTAGATATGGAACAAGAGAAGAGTGCCTCTTTTTACCACTGTTATTCCAAATAGTACTCAAAGTCCTAGCTAGAGCAATCAGACAAGAGAAAGAAATGAAACACATCCAAATTAGAAAGGAAGAAGTCAAATTATCCTTTTTTCCAGAAAACATAATTCTATGTTTAGATAAACCTAAAGATACTGAAGCACTACTAGAACTGATAAACTCATGCAGTAAAGTTTCAGAATACACAATCGGCATGCAAAAATAAATAGCATTTCTATATGCTAACAGCAAATAATCTGAAAAAGAAATCAAAAATGTAATCCCAGGCTGAGTGCAGTGGCTCATGCTGTAATCCCAGCAGTTTGGGAGGCGAAGGTTGGTGGATCACTTCAGGCCAGGAGTTTGAGACCAGCTTGGGTAAGATAGTGAGGCCTTTTTCTACAAAAAATTTTAAAAATTTGCCAGGTATGGTGGCACATGCCTGTGGTCCTAGCTACTTTGGAGACTGAGGTAGGAGGATTACTAGAGCCCAGGATACTGAGGGTTCAGTGAGCCATGACTGCACCACTGCACCCAAGCCTCAGCAACAGTGTGAGACCCTGTATCAAAAAAAAAAAAAAGTAATCCTATTTACAATAGGTACAAATAAAGCAAAATACCTAGAAATAAACTTAGCCAAATAAGTGAAAGACCTCTGTAAAGGAAACTGTAAAACATTGATGTAAGAAACTGAAAAGGACACATTAAAAAATGGAAATATATTTTATGTTTATGGATTAGAAGAATCTATATTGTAAAAATGTCCATACTATCCAGAGCAATTTATAGATTCAATGCATTCCTTATTAAAGTGTCAATGACATTCTTCACAGATATAGGAAAAAATAATCCTAAAATTTATATAGAACCACAAAAAAACCCAGAATATCCACAGCTATCCTGAGCAAAAAGAAGAAAAGTGAAACAATGACATTACCTGACTTCAAATTACACTACGGAAACAAAATTATACTACAGAAAAAAAAAACAGCCTGTTACTGGGATAAAGGCAGACACATAGACCAATGGAACAGAATAGAGAACACAGAAACAAATCCGTACATCTATAATAGACTCATTTTGACAAAGGTGCCCAGAGCATACATTGGATAAAGGAAAGTCTCTCCAATAAATGGTGCTTGGAATATAGTTCAGAAGAAAGTAGACCCCTATCTTTCACCATACACAAAAACTAACTTAAAATGGATTAAACACTTAAATCTAAGGCCTCAAACTATGAAATCACTAAGAAAACATTGGGAAAACTCCGTAAGATATTGGTCTGGGCAAAGATTTCATGAGTAATACTCAAATATCACAGGCAACCAAAGCAAAATGGACAAATGAGATCACATAAAATTAAAAAGCTTTTGCACAGCAAAGGAAACAATCAACAATGAAGAGACAACCTGCAAAAGTAGAGAAAATATTTGCAAAGTATCTATTGCATGAGGATTAATAACTGACATGATTTGGCTGTGTCCCCAACCAAATCTCATCTTCAATTTCCATGTGTTTTTGGAAGGACCTGGTGGGAGGTAATCGAATCATGGGGGCAGGTTTTTCCCATGCTGTTCTTGTGTTAGTAAGACTCCTGAGATCTGATGGTTATTATAAGGGGGAGTTTTCCTGCACAAGCTCTCTCTTTGCCTGCTGCCATCCGTGCAAGATGTGACTTGCTCCTCCTTGCTTTCACCATGATTGTGAGGCTTTCTGAGCCACATGGAACTGTAAGTGGAATTAAACCTCTTTCTTTCTTTTCTAAATTGCTGAGTCTTGCATATGTCTTTATAAGCAGTGTGAAAACAGACTAATATTATAACCAGTATATGTAAGGAGCACAAACAACTCAGCAGGAAAAAAATCTGATAATTCAATTAAAAATGGCCAAAAATCTGAATAGACACTTATCAAAAAAAACCCCCCAAAACGGCAAACAGGTATATGAAAAGTTGCTCAACATCACTGATTACCAAAGAAATGTAAATCAAAACTACAGTGAGATAACATCTCACTCCAGTAAAAATGGCTTTTATCCAAAAGTAATGAATGCTGTATGAATGAAGGCAGTAATGAATGCTGGTGAGGATGAAGAGAAAAGAGAATGCTAGTACACTGCTGAGGGCAATATAAATTAGTGCAACAACAATGGAGAATGGTTTGGAGGTTCCTCAAAAAACTAAAAATTGAACTACCATATGACCCAGAAATTCCAGTACTGGGTATATACCCAAAAGAAAGAAAATCAGTGTCTTGAAGAAATATTTGTTCTCCCCTGTTTATTGCAGTGCTATTCACAATAGCTAAGATTTGGAATCAACCTAAGTGTCTGTCAACAGATGAATGGATAAAGAAAATGTGGTACATATACACAATGGAGCACTATGTATCCATAAAAAGAAATGAGAATCTGTCACTTGCAAGAACATGAATGAAAGTGGAGGTCATTATTTTAAGTGAAAAAAGCCAGGCACTGAAAAAGAAACCTCGCATATTCTCACTTATTTTGGGGAACTGAAAATCAAAACAATTGAACTCGTGGAGGTAGGGAGTAGAAAAGCAATTCTACTTTCCAGAGGCTGGGAAAAGTAGTGGGGGCATTGAGAAATGGGAATGGTTAATGTATACAAAAACTAGTCAGATAGAATGAATAAAATCTAGTATTTGATAGCACAACAGGATAAATACAGTCAGAAATAATTTGTTGTAAATTTTTGAATAATACAGGGAGTGGAATTGTAATGTTCACAACACAAATAATTGATGAATGCTTGAGGTGATGGAAACACCATTTACACTGATGTGATTATTATACATTGTATGCCCATTGTATTTCATGTACCCCATAAATATATTTACCTACTATGAACTTGTAAAAATTAAAAATTATAAATAGAAAAATGCAGTTCCCAAATGGCTAAGAAAGAAAAGAAAAAAAGAAAGAATGAAAACAGGAGAGATTTCAAGGAACAACGAGAGAAAAATTTTGAAAGAGTTCATGAAAAATCCTGATTCTAAGCCATAGCTGCCTTTCATGTGTAATCAGAAAACAGCTCAATACAATGAGCTATATGCTTTTAGACTCTGAGTTTAGATATTTTTTGATGTTGGGATTGTGTCAATTTAAAGAAGAAATAAGTTATTTGTCTTTCTAAGGATTTCTTTCTAAATAGCAATAGAATCAAACAGGTGGAGATAGAGTTAGCATTCCTTAGAGAGAAAGGGCCTGGAATTTTGCAATATAATATTCTCAATATAAAAAGTAATATTATAATCAGATACCAAAAATGGAGTTATGGAAAAGCCCATGCTGAATGGCATGTGTGTGTGTGTGTGTGTGTGTGTGTGTAACCCACTTTATTTTTAAAAAGTTAAATGAAACCATCCCAAGCAATTTAATCTGGTATTTCCCATCCTTATATTTGTATAAGTAAAATTTCTTATATGACATTTTCTTTTGAAAAGTTGCTGATCCTCAACATCTGAATCTGTGAACATATTTTGAGTGATAAACTCAGAATAGGACTTGTAAGTCAGGACTGATTTTTAGCTATTATAGAAAGAGTGTTTCTTATTTTCTATTAAAGGTACTGGCAGGTTTATGCTTGAAAGTTATGACAACATCGCCTTTAGAAGTGGCTACGTACATTTATGAAACATAAATTTATGTGATGTCATTGACTGGAGTTCATAATTAATTCTTTATAACATTAAAATGGGTTTAGTCATGAAGCAGTGGTAAAAAGCCTTTTGGTAAATTCCTCATGTTTGACTCAAATAGCTATCTCTCTTTGTTGTTTAAATTAGATCATTTACACATATATTGTGCATTTAATAAATGTCAAAAAAGGGAAGGAAATTATTACATTAAATCTAAAAATGTCCTCCAAGCTGTTGTGATTACTCAGATGAAACAGCTCTAAAATATAACACTTTACTTAAAAGTAGTTAATTTTATTTATAAAATTTTAATCTCCAACGTACAGGTATAAAATGATGGATCAAGAGCTAGATATGGTTAATTGACACTGCCTTTTACTTTACTCACACTGTAGAGTATTTAAAAACAAAATGGACTTAGCTACTTTCATAAAAACCTGGCTCTTCTATATAAAGATGTAGTCTTATAGCTTGCCTTGACACTTCATAAAACTTGACCCTGTCAGCACACCCACACTTTTCCCAGAGCCTAGTAGCTCTTGTGCTTTTGGATAAGAAACCAAGAGGCCAGGTTGGTACATTCCCCATTAGTCCCTGTTGTCATGGCAGCACTTAGGTCAAGTTGCAGGGGCTGTCCACATCAGCCTTCCACTTATATGTCTCCCATAGCAGAGGTAAGAGAAAAGCAAATTACACTTCTATTCTTATCTGTTTCAGAAGTGGGAAGAGTAAAAATTGACCCAGAGGGCTACATGTTTCAGGAAAAGATAAGGAGTGCTTTTTCCCCCTGTAAGTAAAGACTGTTTTTCAATCTGTCATATTTCAAGCATTCCTATCACCTGCCTACCCCCTTTGGACATTTGACTCCGCAAATTCTGCTTTAAGTGGTAACTCATGGTAACAGTGAGAAGTGCACCACAAATATTCTTGAAAGTTCGTTATTATATATCTTGCTCTCATGGGAAGCAAAAGTGATAAAAGATTTTATTAGGGGAGATAGGTGCACTTCTTCCTACTGTTCAGTGCATGCTATTTTTATTTTTTTCACAAAATTGAATAAAAGCCCCCTGGCATGTGAATCCTATAAAGTAGGATATCTGATTAAAAAAAATAAAAATTCTTCAAACTATTCAAAATTGTTATTTAAAGACAAGATTTGCTCAGTTTCCGTTGTGAATCTGATAATGCATTAAACTGTTTTCTATTAGTGATTAATAATAGATTACTGCCTATGGATTTCCAGGCTGCTTTAACAAGATCTCTCACTTTCCCCATGATCTTCTCCTATCACTCACAATGATAGGCTCAGTAACGATGAAGTATATGAAGAATAAAAAATACTTCAATAAGATAATAGTTAAATGCTGACTACAACATAATCCTATAAACATTTATAGAAATTTGAAAGGAAAACACGTATAAATACATCATTCTGAGATGAATATCAGAGTGTTTATGCTGTAGTTTCGTGCATATCACAGAATCTTTTGCATTACTGTGGTCTTGCAAATATTCCAGAGCCAGAAAAATGATGCTCTGCATCATGTTCAGAGTCCTGGAAATATCTATCACTCTGCTAATTTAATTAAATGCCATTTGGTTTTAATAATCTGCAAACCCAGTTAATATGTGAACCTAGGCCTTGCTGGGATACTTGACAAAATTATTTTCCTAAAACTGCAAGTCTGAGGAAGAGAATCTCAACCATGGTAATATCACAAAATCAGAGACATCTGCTAAAGTTGAACTACCTTTCATTTCTTCATTTGTTCATTTAACAAACATTTGTTTGCTAAATGTTCTGCCAGGCATTCTCCTAGGCACCAAATTTTAGGGGCAAGTAAAGACAGCCTAAATGCCTTCAGTTAGTGGCTTATGCCTTATAGTGGTAGAAGACATGAGGAACACAATCTGAACAATTAATCAACAGGAAAAACAAAAGCTAGTTCAAGGGTATTCCAACTTCGGTGCACACCTACAGAGATTTAAAATTTACCAAAATCTACATCCCACCCCCAGATAATCCAGAGTGAGATCTGGACGTCTGAAATTTAAAAGCCCTGTATGACTCAAATATGCAGGGAAGACCAAGAACCACTTGCCTGGAGAAGTGCATTAACTAGAAAATTAAAATTAGGCCAGGTGCTATGGCTTACACCTGTAATCCCACCACTTTGGGAGGCTGAGGCGGGCAGATCACCTGAGATGTCAGGAGTTTGAGACCAACATGACAAACATAGAGAAACACCATCTCTACTATAAATACAAAAATTAGCTGGTTGTGGTGGCGGGCTTCTGTAATCCCACCTACTTAGGAGGTTTAGGCAGGAGAATCACTTGAACCTGGGAAGTGGAGGTTGCAGTGATCCCAGATTGCGCCACTTCACTCCAGCCTGGGTGACAGACTCAGAAAAAAGGAAGAGAAGAGAAGGAAAGGAAGAAAGAGAGAAAGAAAGAAAATTAAAATTAGAATGACTAGATGAAGTAGTTAGAGTGGAATGCATTTAAACTGGCAGTTTAATGACAAAGGGCGGTTATGTAAAGACAAAGGTAACGAATTCACCAGGCAGAGGAATCCAGGCAGAGGAAATAGGTTCCAAGGCAAGGATGAGGTCAGGGTCTTTGAGGAATGAAAGGAAGTCGAGTATACCTAGGTAAAAAAAATGATGAGATCCAAGAAATAGAAAGGGGTGTGTAATGCTCTTAAGCCAGGAATGTGATGAATTTTTGAATTTATAGGAAGCCTTTGCAAGTTCCTACATTAAGTGATATTAATCTGATTTATTGTAGTTTAAACACTAATTTAATTTTATGATGCATTATAAGGATACTTCATGTTAAGTTTTTCTCTAATCAAAAATCACAGCTCTATCTTTGATTTACAGTTCATTTGAAGTAAGGGTCATTTTATTAAACACGATTAAAGAAAAAACAATAACTTGAAAAAAAGCTTGCTAGAGAGAAAAGAGAACCTCTGCTTTTCACATAATATTCATCATAACTAACACATGCATATTTTATCAGAATATCAGAAGATATTTCAGTTTCTGCATTTCTAAAATAAATTGACTGGTCCAAGCATCACCTTAAGATATGTTGAAGGTTTCCCAGAATTGAAGGTGTCTAAAGTTTATTAGAGCAGGGATACAATTGGATAGAAATGCAAAGAATGTCTAGAGGAATAGTAAAGAGCCTAAAGATGGCTTGCAAGAGATTAAAGAAGTTTCTGAAGATCTTTAAACTAAAATTAAGAATTTAAAATATTCACATGTCAAAGACAAACATATGAGCTACAATTGGTTAAGGGAAGAGATTGGAAATAAGTAGTAGAAATTTAGTGTGGGCTGAATAAGGTAAAAGAGGAGATTAAAATGCTGTAGATAGATTGAAAAAACCTTGAGTGACCTATATACTGAGATGATATCTTTAGCTCTTGTTATGATATCTGTATCAATTCAGATACTTTACATATCTACTATGTTGTATTAAAATTTGTAGATTATTTGATTCATTTTACTTGTTATTGTTCCTAGTATTTTTAAAGTGTGTACATGCGTGTGCATCTGTGTGTATGTGTGTGTGTGTGTGTGTGTCTCAAACTCCAATGTCCAACTCAACTCAATTGGACATCTTAATCTTATTGTGGGACAAAAACCACACTTTCCTCTAGATTGTATCTAGGACAAAAGGTTGATTTTATAAAAGATGTGACATAATAAATTATGTTTCTGCCCTTTTTATTTCTCTTTCTTCTCATTGAACGTTGAGCTCCAAAAGAGCAAAATGAGTATTATTTTAAAATTATTGTCAGCAGAAGGAGAGCAGTATGGTATATAAACATTCACAGCAATGATTGTATAGCAATGATTCATATTTCAAGATTTTGTCCAGAGTTCTGCCATTTATGAGCTATGTGACCACCAACTAGCTAATTAATTAATCTATCTGTACATATTCCAGATTAATAGCAAGCAGTAGAATTAAAGCTTTAAAACACATTCTATCATTTGCTTTCAATAATTTCACAGCAATTTTCACCAGGATGATGGCTTATAATTTTTTTGAAACTATTTTACTTAGGAAATTTCAGCACAAATTCAACAGAGAACCAAATGTACTAAGGATGCAACTTAAATTCTAAAATATACAGTTAAGGATGGGCACGATGGCTCATGCCTGTAATCCCAGCACTTTGGGAGTCTGAAGTAGGCAGATTGCTTGAGCCTGGGAGTTTGAGACAGGCCTGGACAACATGGTGAAACCCCTGTCTCTATAAATTTAAAATAAATAAATACACACATACATTAATAATAATAAATACATTTAAAATATGATACTGTGCCATTTTTATTACAATTCACTAAATCTCAGTAACAGATAACTTCAATAAGAAAACATTAACTAGCACGTGTAAAACTAGTTATTTAAGATTTTGGTAAACTGAGATTAGACAAAGGCTTCACAATTACATTTACAATAGCCATTTGCTAAAATGAATAGTGTATTAAAATAAGTGGACATGATAATCAGCCAACTAGCTGTGGCTACCACAATATAGTTAAAATTATTTTGCAGAATTATTTATTATGTGTCCAGGGTGATAGAGATAATTTTTTATCATTGGTGGATTTTCTTTACTCTGTTCTTTATTAGGAAAAGTGCTTAATTACAAATGAATGACACATTTATGAAGTTAGAGCTTTGTACTTTTCTTCCAAAGTCTTTATTTTAAAAATAATTGTATATTAATTAAATGAGTAAATACAAAGTGACTATAAATACTATCTGGACTGGTGTTAGCTTGCAGGTGGGGCTAAAGGAAATAAATGTGTCGGTGTAAACATAATCCTAATCCTCACTTAGCATCAGTGACTCATTGCTTTCCATGCCTCATAATAATTTCTGCTGTAAAACCTCAGAGGTTTTGTTAACATACCACAGGGTCAGAGTTTTACATTTTAAGTAGAATCTCCTTTAGCTTTGTTCCTAGGACAGTTTGATTTCTCCCATGCCTAGCTCTCAACATCTCTGTGAGGGCATCTCTGAACTGTGGTCTTTTTCTGTGTGGTGCTTTAATTGATCCATTCCTGATCATATAGTTGGTAAATGCAGGGCTAGAATTTTATCCTAAGTCTACTGACACTGAATCTGTAACTACTTCAATGCAACAAATAACTTGTGTTTACTTTTATATTATTTAAAATAATAAATTTGTTTAATTACCCACTTTAAGAAATAGAATCATTCAAATAAGAACTGGAATTCACTAACAGCACCATTTACCAGAAATATTGGTGAACACTGGTTTCTTTGCCAATTGAGTGTCTCTCTCTCTCAATTGCACTGAGTTTTAAAACTTGAGAATCCAGTTTTTGAAGACCTTACATGGTAACAACTTTGGAAAGGGGCATTTGGTGCAAATGTGCACTTGAGGCAAAATAGAACAATCTTGTTCTCATTTAAAATTTATGTTTTATACTCATAGGTAAGGTTAGGTTTAAGCTCGAAATCTAGTACTATTTAAAAACTACATTGCAAGTTACAGGTTGTTTCAGAGCTACTTTTTTTAAATTAAAGCCAATGGATAATTTATTTAATGTTTCAAATATACAAAAATTATTTAACAATCACAATGTGATAATGACTTTTCCCTCTGGAAACAGATATGGGAATATGCAGCTTATTACAAATCCTTAAAGTTTCTATCCTCCCAGCAGGATGACATTTTGCAAAATTTATAAATATGAAAAGCCTTTCCAAATATTTGTCATTGGTTAATAAATTATGCTGGTTAATATCATATCTAATAAAATATTTATTTCAAACATCAGGAGGCATGGTTTCAGCTAAGACTTTGGTTAAAATACTGTGGGTCAGTAGCTTGATATATATTCTCTTTCATCAAAAAGAATAACGAATTGAGTCACAAACGGTAGGATACAGGTTGAAAACCTGCAGTGAAAGTATCTTAATTTGTCCAGCTGTCATGCTATTAACCTAATTACCATACAATTTAAAGTTAATAATACAAAGAAGCTTAAATGAGATCAGACTGAAATGTGGGCAATTATACCAAGAACTTTAATAGAAGATACCTTGAGTTTTATCAATTAATTTCAATTCCATTTTACTTGCTCTGAAACTCCCAAATTGAAATAGATTGAATCTCAAATTAAAGAGAATAGAATTTCTGATAGAGTCCACAATAAGACCACAATATAATTCATCCCTTCCCTTATTGCCACAGTATAGTTCTATTGAGGAGAAATTCCTAGCACAGATTGATTTGCAGGTCATGAAGTAATACAGTGATATATAACAGAGAAGTGATTAAGATTTATTCTCTGAACAACAAAGTTTTAGGCCCTTATTTACACATCAGCAGAATACCTGGCTTTACTTGCTATAAATTTTACTTTAATGAAAAGCTTTGCTTGATTTCATAGAAATACTATACTTGGCACTTAAGGGTATGTATGACCTTCCCAGTATTTTAAGTATGAGAATAATTCTGTAAGAAGTAGAATTGGAGAATGTGGACATAACCCAACAATGACAGTGTGGGTTCAATTCCATTTTTAAAAAAATTTAGGCTGTTTCCATATTATTACCAAAATAGAAAAATGTTTAGAACTCTTAAGAATCACACACACAAAAAATGCATGCTGAAATTTCTTTAAGTGAAATAATTTGAATAAATTTAACAATCTGAAAAAAATGCGTATAACTAATTGAGATCTAGACAGGGAATTAAAAAGCTTTGGGGATAGTGTCTTGAAAAGAAGTGGAGTTTTATTAACCGCTTAATTTGAAGAGCTATTATTAACATGACTCTCCTCTGACATCATTAGTTCCACGACACATTTTGAGTTAGTAATTTAACACAGACAGAATTTATTTTCAAGTCATTATCACAGTAATGTACTACTGGCAAGGAGATCCATAAGACATTCAGAAAACTGAATAAGCTACCACTGTAGGTGACTCATAAAAATAAACCTAATATAAGAAACAGGATGTCAACAAATAAAGTATATTTTAAGAACAAAGTATTATATGCTATTTTATAATTCAGTTTTCTTGCAATAATGAGTTTTTTAACATTTGAAATTTATCAGTCAGCAAATATAAATATAACAAGTCTTATTTGTTTAATGAATTTATAAAATATAAAGGCTTTTCTCTGAATTATAAAAAAAGGCTTTTTATGGCAATTCTATTAGTTTTCTACTGCAATGTAACAAATCACTGCACATTTAGATGATTAAAAACCACATAAATGTATTATCTCAGTAGGTCAAAAGTCAACCTTAGGTCTCAGCAGGTGAAATCAGGTGTCAGCAGGCTGTGTTCTCATCTGGAGCTTGGGTCTCTCTTCCAAGCTCATTCAGGTTGTTGACAGATTTCAGTTCCTCTCAAGACTAAAGTTCCCATTTTCCTGCTGAATTTGGGTCAGGTGTGGCTCTCATTTCCGAGAAGCCACTCTCAGGTCGTAGCCCTCTTAAAACAGGACATTTTATTTCAATGTCAGCAGAAGAATCTTTCTTATACTTTAAATCCCTTGCTTCAGAAGGCTCAGTTCCTTGTAAGGGTTTACCTAAGTAGGTCAACAGCACCAAGGAAGATTTCTCTTTTGAACTCAGTGCTAATGAATATGGGACCTTAACCATATCCATGAATCCTTTCACTTTAGTCGTGTAATATAACTTAACCACGAGAGAGAAATCCACGAGACAGAATTCCTTTCCTCCTCATACAAAAAGTAGACTAACATATATATGTGGACATTAGAAAGGGAGAATCAAGCTTGAGAGCCAGCTTAACATTCTGACCACCACAGGTATTTATAATAATTTTATTGTAAAGTTTAGCAAATTCATGAAACATCATAGCTTAAAGTGTCTTCAATCATTCATTCTGGTGTTTTAAAAAATATATGCTTTTTTCAACTGAAAATAATACTTTATCTTTCTTGTATATCAGGTTTTACCGTAAGATTTCCTTTTCAGAAAAGTATTTTAAAATTATTGATTTTGTCAGTCTCTAAGGATGCAGAGATGGGAGGTTACAAAGTTGTCCAGAATAGAAAAAAAAGAAATAATGAAAAACAAAAAAATTAAAATTTAATTAAATGAAAAACAAAAAAAAACCAAAAACAATGTTGTCCAGAATGACTATATTGAATAATGACAGAACTAGGATGGCCCCCATATCTCTGACACCCACCAGTGTTCTTAGTTCTTATAAAATATATCACAGATTATTTTAACTGATATATGCATAATAAGGATTGGAAAATCATAGCTACCAGATTTATAAACCAGAAGCATTAAACGAACATTTATTTTAGAGTAGTTAAAATACATTTTCTAATTTGAATTCCTGCTCTGTCACTTAATCTTGTGAACTTTGGCAAATTCCCGAACCACTCATTGCTTCAGTATTTCTATATTGCTAAAAGAAAAAAAAAAAAAGTGGAAAGCAATAATATTTAACTCTTGAAGAATTGAAATGACTGAAGGAAAGATATATATGTAAAGCATTTAGATTTGTCACCCACTTAAAATTTGCATTTTTATTGTTGTTATCCTTATTGTAATTATTAGTTTTTAATAGTTACCCATTTCCCATCATACTTGAAATCTTTCTAGGTTCATAAGAGGAATGGGTTAAAGCTTAGTTTTAGAAGTTGAAATAAAAACACAAAGTATATATCACTAGGATATAAACCTATAAGAAATGGATTTTTTGTTTAGTTCGCTGCTGTTTTCTGTCTATAAAATGGTGCCTACTATATTTTGGAATGAATACATGATAAAAAGTGAAGTTATACAAATAAAAGTTTACTTGTCTTTATCATAAAGAGCTACCTAAAAAATATTTAAACTTACAGATTTGATAAAACAGGGAATCAATTTCCATAAATAAATATAAACATAACTGTATATTTTCAAGCTAAACTGTTGGCATCAACTGAAATCTAATATCAGTTTCTCTCTTCTTTTCTTTTCCTCCAATGATAATACAATCCTACTGCCATTTATTAGGAATTTAAATACTATATTCACTTCTATTGCTTTTTTTCCTAAGACTACATATGAAATATTGAGATGAAATTTATAAATGATTAAACAAGTATAACTATTTTTAATACTTTCTTAGGTGTCAGCAATTCAATCCCAATAGTATACTGTACTTTCCATCTAGATATCCTAAGGAAATGTCAATTTTCAAATTTATCATATTTTTTCAAAGATGCTATATCTCTTGCTGTGTGTCTTAATGCTGTTAATAATATAGATGCTGATATCCCTCTAGGAGCTGGTGTCTGTCATTTTTCTTCACTGCTATATATCTAGCAGTTAACAAGGTAACTTCCAAATATCACTACTCAATAAATATTTGCCAAGTGAGTGAAAGCTATCATCATCCTAGTCAATCAAGGTGGCATTCCTCTGACATTTGTATCCAATCCCTTCAACTTATTCTAGTTTCTTCACCCATTAAGCTATTCCATGACCCCAACACTTTTTTCTCTACCTATCACCACTCACCTGTCTTTACTGATTTCCTTTTCCATAAAATATTTCATCTAGAACAGAGGTCAAAATTTGAAGGTTGGAACACATTTTTTAAAAAGCACAATTGTCCTTCTTTTATATAGCGGATTCATTTTACTTAGGAGCTCCCATTATCAATGACAATAGATGATGAACAGGAGGAAGGGCCTATAAACTTGCCAATTAGAGGACTCTAATTACACAGGGTCAAAGACACTTTTTAGGATGGTTTTATAGGCCCTTATACCTCCTGTCATGACTTAAAGCTCCAGGGATTGGGGGTGATCTTTTCTCTCCTCCCATCTGTGAATGGTGGGTCACTGGGAAAACAAATCCATGTTAGTGTCAGGAGAAGCTTTGGAAATAACTATCGTCCAGTGTGTCACTGC
Source organism: Homo sapiens (assembly GCF_000001405.40). Lineage (NCBI taxonomy): Eukaryota > Metazoa > Chordata > Mammalia > Primates > Hominidae > Homo > Homo sapiens. Next base: position 162,733,934 of record NC_000003.12, on the reverse strand, counting down.
TGGCCCCTGTGTCAGTGTTGCCTGTTACACTCACCATTCGAATTAGTCTCTACTGACGGGGTGATTCTTACCTGCCTTACGGAATGATGCTTTCATCTGTGGGTGAGCAATTGGAGTTTCCATTGCCTCGGTTTCTAGGGCTGCCCTCTCCGTAGTGTCTTTGCTAAAGTGATCCTCCCACCTCAGCCAGCAGAGTAGCTAAGACTGCAGATGTGCACCACCAAGCCTGGCTTTTTTTTTTTTTTTTTTTTTTTTTTTTTTTAATTTTTGTAGAGACATCCTTATGTTGCCCAGGCTGGTCTCAAACTCCTGGGCTCCAGCGATCCTACCACCTTGGCCTCCTGAAGTACTGGGAGTACAGGTGTGAGCCACTGTGCCTGGTTTCAGTGGACTCTTCACGTCAGACATCTTCAGTCTGTGCAGCAGTCCAGACCAGAAACCTGGCATATGCTGTTTACACACAAGGGCTCCAAAGTCCCTTACTACTTTCTAGGACCCAGGCTGTCTTGTGGTATTTTCTCTAAGTGTGTCTGAAATGTTCATTTAGTATATCCCTCAAATGTGGCTATCCTCAGGCTCTCTGATGATCTTGAAATTACCATGATTAATAAAAATCTGCTCTGAAAAATGTGTCCTCTTTCCACACTCTGTGAGACCCAGCCCTTGAATATGTTATCAGGTACCTCTAAAACCTATAACTGCCCCCACCCAAGCTTGCCAGCCTGGCCACACACGAGAGGTTTTGGAGGTTCCTCACATTCATTGGTATGTTCTCTGCCATAAATGCTTAATTATTTTACACATACAGAGTTTTTTTTTTTTTTGCCTCCCCCCCATTAGCATTGGCTCAAGCTTCAAGTACCATACAATGCTAAATAGAAGTGCTGAAAATAAACCACCATATTTTATTTCTGATTTCAAGGGAAATTTTTAATCATTCAATAGGCCACTTGCTTTAACTTTTTAATAGGTAACTTTGTCACATTAAGTTCCTTTCTGTTCCTACGTGGAAGCCGGGTGAGGCCTGTGACTGCTGGCTTTCCCCTACTTCCCTGGCAACCTGTATAACTCAGCAGAGGCAGTCATAGTCCTCCTGGAAACAAAACTCCATTGGTCTGAGAACCACACCCCAATCCCCCACAGCAGCTACAGCAAGCCCCACCCAAGGAGAGTCTGAGCTCAGCCTATCCCTGACCCCACTTGATGGTCTTTCTCTACCTGCCCTGGTTGCTGAAGACCAAGGACATAATCTCTTGAGAGCTCTATGGCCTTGCCTACTGCCTGAGAAACCTGAATATTTAAACAGGCGAGTTTGCTTCCTCCCTATACAAAAGCAGCTGATGTGCTTTTGAAAGGGCCACCTTCAGGCTGGAGGCCAAAAAGAAACCACAAAACCAGTTCATTAACCAAAAATACAACCAAGGACCCTCAAAAAGTTCATTCCCCTGCTACCTCCATTGGAGCAGGTGCTGGTATCTGTTATGTGTGTGCCTAATTGAAGAGAGTACCCAATCAGCCTAACTGTGAGCAACATGGCTATTTACTCACTCGGGTGCAAGCGGGCTGAGTCTGAAAAGAGAGTCAGGGAAGGGTGGTGGGAGTGGAACTGGTTTTATAGGTTTGGGGTAGGTAGTGGAAAGTTACATTTAGGGGCAGATTTTTCAGGCAGGGGAAGAATGTCACAAGGTGCATAGTCACAAGGTGGGGGGAGGTCACAAGGCACGATATCACAAGGTCGACTGATTCCACAATGGTGGAATGTTGCAAGGTCTGTTATCAGTTAAGGCAGGAACTAGCTGTTTCTTCATCGTTAGTGGTTCTCCTGTTGCTCCAGGCTTTGTGACTCCAGGAGGCCTGTACGTGTGGGTCACAGGGGTCATAATGGCTCAATCACGGTGTAGCCCTTTCAGAGGACCTTACAGTATCCATTGCTGAAAACCCTGAAGAAGGATCACATCACAGGACTCTTTGCAGACCAGTACCAGCCCAGAGACTGGTAGGTCTTCTATGTGGCTAGACCAAGAAGAGCAAAAATAATCACTGGGGTTGGGCTCTCAGGAAGCCCTATCCCTAGGGGAAGGGGGAGAACACCAAATCAAGGGAGCACCCTGTGGGACAAAAGAATCTGAACAGCAGCCCTTGAGTTCCATATCTTCCCTCAGACATAATCTATCTAAATGAGAAGAACCAGAAAACAATTCTAGTAATATGACAAAACGAGGCTCTTTAACAGCCCCAGAAGATCAAACCAGCTCACCAGCAATTGACCCAATCCAAGATGAAATCTCTGAATTGCCAGAAAAATAAGTCAGAAGGTTAATTATTAAGCTAATCAAGGAGACACCAGAGAAAGGTGAAGTCCAACAGCAATCCCATTACTAGGTATCTACCCAGAGGAAAAGAGGTAATTATACAGAAAAGATACTTGCACACACATGTTTATAGCAGCACAATTTGCAATTGCAATTATATGAAACCACCTCAAATGCCCATCAATCAACAAGTAAATAAAGAAAATGTGATATACACACATGCACGCACACACACACACACACATATCATGGAATACAACTCAACCATAAAAAGGAATAAAATAATGGCATTTGTGGTAATCAGGATGGAATTTGAGACTATTATTCTAAGTGAAGTAACTCAGGAATGGAAATCTAAACATTGTATATTCTCATTCATAAATGGGAGCTAAGCTATGAGACCACAAAGGTATATACAATGGACTTTGGGGACTCGGGGAAGGGTGGGAGGGGGGTGAGGAATAAAAGGCTATTCATCGTGTACAGCGTATGCTTCTTGGGTGATGGATGCACCAAAATCTCAGAAATAACCATAAAGAACTTATTCATGTAACCAAATATGACCTGTTCCTCAAAAACCTATTGAAATAAAAAATTTTAAAAAAGAACACTGATAAGTTTTTCTTTACCATAGTCCATGTGAAAATATTTATATTTCACTTTTCTTCTTAAAGCACATTTATGTTTTTCTCTTACTCATTTCATAGTTTGAGGTTTGCAGATTTTTTTTTTAATTTTTCAGTCCCCTGAAGGAATCAAGATATTATCTTCTGGTTGGCCTAATTTCTGCTACAAAGCCAGTTGTCAGACTGGCTGTTAGGCTTTCGAAGGTAATCTGATTTTTGTTTGTTTGTTTATGATATCTTTGAAGATTTTCTTTTTACCTTTGGTTTTCAAAAGTTTTGTTGGTTTTTGAACATACATTTCTTTTTACACATCTTAGTTGATATTTGTTGAGTGGCCAACAAACATATGAAAAAAAGCTCATCATCACTGATCATTAGAGAAATGCAAATCAAAACCACAATGAGATACCATCTCATGCCAGTCAGAACGGCCATTATTAAAAAGTCAAGAAACAATAGATGCTGGCGAAGCTGTGGAGAAACAGAAACGCTTTTACACTGTTTGTGGGAGAATCCTTCTTCAATTTACTTCTTTGGTCAGTTTGTGAGACTTTCTAGCCATTACCTCTTTAATTATGACCTCTGCCCATTTTCTGTCATTATTCGCTTTCTCTGAATTGAATTAAATGTATTTTAGATTTTCTCAGTGTATTTTCTATATTTCTTACCTGTCTTCTCTATTTTTCAGTTTTCTCTGTACTTCTTTCTGTCCATTTTTTTCTAAACTACTTTATGTTCACTAATTTCTTTCAGCATGTCACATCTGTTACTAAATGTCATTAATGGGTGTGGTGTATGTAAGATTTACATACAGTAGAATACACAAGTTTATAGTGTATGGATTGATTAAATTTATCAAAATTATATACCCTTACAGTGAAAATCCACAATGTAAGACATTGTCCAGCACACCAGAAAGTTTTCACCTATTTCCTTTCAGTCAATGTCCTCTCTCATGGTCATTCAATGTTTTGATTTCTATCTTCCTACACTAGTTTTGCTTATTTTGAATGTTATATAAAATGAATCACACAGTAAATGTCATCCTTTTGTGTCATCCTTCTTTTGCTCAATATACGTTTGTGATTCATCCTTGCTGTCGCATCATTAGTTTATTCTTTTTATCGCAAAATACTGTTCTTTGTATGACTATACCATGACCTAGCTATCCATTCTCCTGGTTAATGAATATGTGGGTGTTGTCTAGCTTTTAGTCATTATCAAAGGATGTTTTAGACATTATGAAATAAATGTTTCTGTTCAGGTCATATTGTAGATATAGATCTTTATTTCACATGAGTATTCTTTTGAAATTGATAGTTATAGAGTAAGTATATATGTTTAATTTTATAAGAAATAGCCAAACACTTTTCCCAAGTGGTTATAACATTTCACTCTTCCTCCAATAATATATAAAAAGTCTAGTTTCTCCATATCTTTGCCAATATTTGGTATTATCAATCACATGTTGTCATTCAAGTAGGTATGAAGTAGTATATCATTATAGTGGTATAAACTTGTATATCTCTGTGGTCAGTAATGATGAGCACTCTCGTGCTTGTTGGTCATTTACATATCTTCTTTTATAAAGGATTTATTCAAATAGTTTGTCTATTTTGTCAATTGGGTTGTTTTTCATTTTACTGTAAAATTAGAAAGGTTATTTACATATTCTAAATATAAGTCTTTAGCTAGACTTAAGGTATTGCATTTTTTTTCTCTCAGTATGGGACTTAGCTTTTCATTTCTGGAACAGTGTTATTTGATTAACAAATTTTATAGTTCTGATTAAATCTAATTTTTTATGATGAATGCTTTTGGGTCTGATTTAAGAATTTTTTGTCTTCCCAAAGATTGCAAAATATTGCACAATTTGATCAAGAAGTTTTAGATTTCACTTTAGATTCTCCTTGTAGAATTTTAATCCCCTTATTACCTCAAAGTAAGGATTAAAACAGATTTTCTCTTTTTTGTTGACTGACATGTAATACGGTGTATATATTTCTATTTATTTAGATCTTTTTAAATTTTTTTCAAACATGTTTTATGGAAGTCTAACATCACCTTTTGTTCTACTTTTTACTAGAGTTTTGATATGTTTCATGCTATTTTAAGTAGTATCTTTAAAATTTAATTTCTAATTACAGCTAGTGATAGTAATGCATACGATTATTGCTACCGACTCTGAATCATACAAACTTGACAATTCACTTAGTACTTTAGGTTTCCTTCTTCTGATCCCATAGATTATTCCATGCAAAAATAGACATTTTTGTTTGTTGTTGCTAGGCCTAAGGTTTTCAACATTAAGTGTGATATTAGATGTATAATTTCTGAAGTCATAAAATTAGTTTCTAAGCAAAGGAAATATTTATTCCCTTATTCATTCACTCAGTAAGTCATCATTCATTTAAAATGTGAGGCATATGCAGAGATGGAAAAGGCTTTGTCCTCATGGAGTTGATATAAAGACAAGAGATGGAGGAAAAGATAATATGCAATAAATAAAAAGACAAGATTAAGTGATGTTATAGTAAGTTACTAGTGTGGGAGTACTTGGGTACTTTTTTCCAATCACAACTTTTTTTTTTTAAGATAAGTATTTTCTATCTGCTAAAATATTGCCCTTGTCATATATGCTCCACATGGATAAGAGTGTTTTCTATCTGTCCTACTCATGTGTCTAATAAGTGAAAGAGTTCTACAGTGATTTCATGAGTAGATGCATAATTTCTTTTTACTTGAAAGATGATTATCAACATAATCATAACCATTTTATATGACTATCAAAATAATATTTATTTTTCAGAAAATAGCTAAAATATATTCTATTAATATTTATTTGGAAAGCTTTGTCTGAGAAAGCATCACTAGGTACTCACTCCTAACAGAATACTTAGTTTGTGCCATCTATAGCATTTCATTACAGCTTTGTAAATACCTACTGAACAAATTCTAAGCTCTTTGAAGTTGAAACCCAGACAATGGCTGATAAGTAGTGGGTGTTCCATAGATGTATGTTTAATGAATTAATGGATTAACATTAATTGCTCTGTGGACAATAATGATCCACTAAGCAAAATACTCCAGAAATTCTACATTTAGTATACTTATAGATCAGCAATTTATTACTTTAGGGTCTATTTCACAGTAAAAATGCAACTTTATAGTGTGTATGTCAGGGAACATTATTTTCTATTTGATAAGGACACTGCATGAATTTAGAGACAATAACTTTTCTCTCTATTAATGTCATCATTCCACCAAGAGCCTAAGCCACTGACATACATTACAAAACACTAGGTCACAGAGAAAATCACTTTCAAATTTATATTGTGAATGCACAAGTTAGATTGATTTATACCTGTAAGTGACAAATTGTTGCTGAAATAAGATGAATGCATTCACAAGTCAATAGCTAAAGGAACTGAAAACTGTGCCTATATTTATGCCATAGCAGTCTGTTAGTTCACAAAGCTGTGGCAGAGGATGATAATGCTGTATAACCAAGTATCCAAAATGTCAAAAATCTTAGGGATCTGGCACATGTATACCTATGTAACAAACCTGCAGGTTCTGCACATGTATCCCAGAACTTAAAGTACAATAATAAAAAAAAATCTTAGGGATCTATTTAAAATAAACCTCTGGATACCTGATTTTATTCAGAGCACTAACCATGACATCAGGTATCACATATTCATGTTTGATTTCTGTACAATTTAAAAATAAACAGAAGTAAAATTGAATAGGGGGAGGGGGAGGGACCCCAATCTCTTATCTCTGCTCCCTGATCCCTTATTTCCGCACCCCAACCTCTTACCTCTGTGCCCCGATCCCTTATCTCTGCGCCCCAACCTCTTATCTCTGTGCCCCAACCCCTTATTACTGCAGCCCGACCCCTTCTCTGCTTTTCTGGAGGGCAAGAAGCCCCCACCCCTTCTCCATGTCTCTACTCTCTTTTCTCTGGGCTTGCCTCCTTCACTATGGGCAAGCTTCCACCTTCCATTCCTCCTTCTTCTCCCTTAGCCTGTGTTCTCAAGAATTTAAAACCTCTTCATCTCACACCTGACCTAAAACCTAAATGCCTTATTGTCTTCTGCAATGCCGCTTGACCCCAATACAAACTTAACAATGGTTCCAAATAGCCAGAAAATGGCACTTTCAATTTTTCCATCCTACAAGATCTAAATAATTATTGCCGTAAAATGGGTAAACGGTCTGTGGTGCCTGATATCCAGGCATTCTTTTACACATCAGTCCCTCTCTAGTCTCTGTTCCCAATGCGATTCCTCCCAAATCCTCCTTCTTTCCCTCCCGCCTGTCCCCTCAGTCCCAACCCCAAGTGTCGCCGAGTCTTTCTAATCTTCCTTTTCTACAGACCCATCTGACCTCTCCCCTCCTTGCCAGGCCAAGCTAGGTCCCAATTCTTCCTCAGCCTCTGCTCCTCCACCCTATAATCCTTTTATCACCTCCCCTCCTCACACCGGGTCTGGCTTACAGTTTCGTTCCGTGACTAGCCCTCCCCCACCTGCCCAGCAATTTACTCTTAAGAAGGTGGCTGGAGCTAAAGGCATAGTCAAGGTTAATGCTCCTTTTTTTTTTTATCCCAAATCAGATAGCATTTAGGCTCTTTTTCATCAAATATAAAAATCCAGCCCAGTTCATGGCTCATTTGGCAGCAACCCTGAGACGCTTTACAGCCCTAGACCCTAAAAGGTCAAAAGGCCGTCTTATTTTCAATATACATTTTATTATCCAATCTGCGCCCGACATTAAATAAAACTCCAAAAATTAAATTCCAGCCCTCAAACCCCACAACAGGACTTAATTAACCTCGCCTTCGAGGTGTACAATAATAGAGGCAGCCAAGTAGCAACATATTTCTGAGTTGCAATTCCTTGCCTCCACTGTGAGACAAACCCGAGCCACATCTCCAGCACACAAGAACTTCCAAACGCCTGAACCGCAGCAGCCAGGCATTCCTCCAGAACCTCCTCCCCCAGTAGCTTGCTACAAGTGCCAGAAATCTGGCCACCGGGCCAAGGAATGCCCACAGCCCGGGATTCCTCCTAAGCCACATCCCATCTGTGCAGGACCCCACTGAAAATCGGACTGTTCAACTCACCTGGCAGCCACTTTCAGAGCCCCTGGAACTCCGGCCCAACTCTCTCTGACTCCTTCCCAGATCTTCTCAGCTTAGCGGCTGAAGACTGACACTGCCCAATCGTCTCGGAAGCTCCTAGACCAACACCGACACCGAGCTTTAGGTAACTCTCACAGTGAAGGGTAAGTCCATCCCCTTCTTAATCAATACGAAGGCTACCCACTCCACATTACCTTCTTTTCAACAGCCTGTCTCTCTTGCCTCCATAACTGTTGTGGGTATTGAAGGCCAGGCTTCTAAACCTCTTAAAACTCCCCAACTCTGGTGCCAACTTAGACAATACTCTTTTAAGCACTCCTTTTTAGTTATCCCCACCTGTCCAGTTTCCTTATTAGGCTGAGACACTTTAACTAAATTATCTGCTTCCCTGACTATTCCTGGACTACAGCCACATCTCATTGCCGCACTTCTTCCCAATCCAAAGCCTCCTTTGCGTCTTCCTCTCATATCCCCCCATCTTAACCCACAAGTATGGGACATCTCTACTCCTTCCCTGGCAACAGATCACATGCCCATTACCATCCCATTAAAACCTAATCACCCTTACCCTGCTCAACGCCAATATCCCATCCCACAGCACGCTTTAAAAGGATTAAAGCCTGTTATCACTCACCTGTTACAGCATGGGCTTCTAAAACCTATAAACTCTCCTTACAGTTCCCCCATTTTACCTGTCCAAAAACCGGACAAGTCTTACAGATTAGTTCAGGATATGCGCCTTATCAACCAAATTGTTTTGCCTATCAACCCTGTGGTGCCCAACCTGTACATTCTTTTGTTCTCAATACCTCCCTCCACAACTCACTATTCCATTCTTGATCTTAAAGATGCTTTTTTCACAATTCCACTGCACCCCTCATCCCAGCCTCTCTTTGCTTTCAGACTGACCATGACACCCATCAGTCCCAGCAGCTTACCTGGGCTGTGCTGCTGCAAGGTTTCATGGACAGCCCTCATTACTTCAGCCAAGCTGTTTCTCGTGATTTACTTTCTTTCCACCCCTCTGCTTCTCACCTTATTCAATATATTGATGACCTTCTTCTTTGTAGCCCCTCCTTTGAATCTTCTCAACAAGACATACTTCTGCTCCTTCAGCATTTATTCTCCAAAGGATATCAGGTATCCCCCTCCAAAGCTCAAATTTCTTCTCCATCCATTACCTACCTCAGCATAATTCTACATAAAAACACAAGTGCTCTCAAACCCCAACCCCTTCTACAAAAAAACAACTCCTTTCCTTCCTGGGCATGGTTGGATACTTTCGCCTTTGGATACCTGGTTTTGCCATCCTAACAAAACCATTATATAAACTCACGAAAGGAAACCTAGCTGACCCCATAGATCCTAAATCCTTTCCCCACTCCTCTTTGCATTCCTTGAAGACAGCTTTAGAGACTGCCCCCGCCCTAGCTCTCCCTGACTCATCCCAACCCTTTTCATTACACACAGCTGAAGTGCAGAGCTGTGCATTCTAACACAAGGACCAGGATTGTGTCCTGTAGCCTTTCTGTCCAAACAACTTGACCTTACTGTTTTAGCCTAGCCCTCATATCTGCGTGCAGTGGCTGCCGCTGCTTTAATACTTTTACAGGCCCTCAAAATCACAAACTATGCTCAACTCACTCTCTACAGCTCTCATAACTTCCAAAAGCTATTTTCTTCCTCACACCTGATACATATACTTTCTGATCCCCAGCTCCTTCAGCTGTACTCACTCTTTGTTAAGTCCCACAATTACCATTTGCCCAGGACTGGCAAATTAGCTTTACTCAACATGCACCGAGTCAGAAAACAAAAATACCTCTTAGTCTAAGTAGACATTTTCACTGGATAAGTAGAGGTCTTTCCTACAAGGTCTGAGAAGGCCACCACAGTCATTTCTTCCCTTCTGTCAGACATAATTCCTCGGTTTAGCCTTTTACCACCTTCCCTTCTCAGAATTCTGACCTGTCCTTGGAATGCTACAAGGTACAGCCCATTTAAGCTCCTGTATAGACACTCTTTTTTATTAAGCCCCAGTCTCATTCCAGACACCAGACCAACTTGGACTGTGCCCCAAAAAACTTGTCATCCCTACTATCTTCTGTCTAGTCATACTCCTATTCACTGTTCTCAACTACTCATATATGCCCTGCTCTTGCTTACACTGCCAGTTTACACTGTTTCTCCAACCCATCACAGCTGATATCTCCTGGTGCTATCCCCAAACTGCCACTCTTAAATCATCTTTGCTGGCAGGACTATGCTGAATCTCCTTAGGCACTCTCTAATTAGATGTCCTGGGTCCTCCCAATTCTTAGATCTTTAATACCTGTTTTTCTCCTTATTCCGTTTAGTTTTTCAGTTCATACAAAACCATATCTTCTAACAGTCCCACAATATCACCCCTTACCACAGAATCTTCCTTCAGTTTAATCTCTTCCACTCTAGGTTCCCATGCCACCCCTAATCCTGCTTGAAGCAGCCCTGAGAAACATCGCCCATTATCTCTCCATAGCATCCCCCAAAATTTTTGCCATCCCAACACTTTACCACTATTTCGTTTTGTTTTTCTTATTAATATAAGAAGACAGGAATGTCAGGCCTCTGAGCCCAAGCTAAGCCATCATATCCCCTGTGACCTGCACGTACACATTCAGATGGCCAGTTCCTGCCTTAACTGATGACATTCCACCACAAAAGAAGTGAAAATGGCCTGTTCCTGCCTTAACTGATGACATTGTCTTGTGAAATTCCTTCTCCTGGCTCATCCTGGCTCAAAACCTCCCCTACTGAGCACCTTGTGACCCCTACTCCTGCTCGACAGAGAACAACCCCCCTTTGACTGTAATTTTCCTTTACCTACCCAAATCTTATAAAACGGCCCCACCCCTGTCTGTCTTTGCTGACTCTCTTTGCTGACTCTCTTTGCTGACTCTCTTTTCGGACTCAGCCTGCCTGCACCCAGGTGATTAAAAGCTTTATTGCTCACACAAAGCCTGTTTGGTGGTCTCTTCACACGGACACGTATGAAGGAAACAATGTAGTGTTAGTGTCTCTAAAAAGACTAACACTTTTTGTTTTTGTTTGTGTTTTTGCCTGTTATTCCTTCTCTTTATCAAAAATTTTCTCAAATACCAAGAATAAATTTTTGGAATAAATTTCCAAATAATACTTTTTATTTTAAATTTTCTTTTACATGAAAAATATATGTACATTGCAAATGGAAATTTGGAGTCCAAGGATGTAGTCACATCTCACTGTAACTTCAATCTGAAATGTAGTCAATCCATAAATTTTCATTTATTCTGCTGACTTGCATTAATCAATAGAATATTTATGCCTTAATGGCATGGTTATGATCTTTTTTATATATTCCTTTACTCTACCTTTCTGGTTTTCAGCTCTCTGTTTCTTTTATTAAATTTCTACAACTTTCAACTTTATCACCTATTTATGTAACTATTCTGTGGCTTAGATTAGTTTTTCACTTTTTGTCTTATTAATTACCCATTTAATATGTGAATATCTTAACTTTAATATTACGTATTTCGGAGATAATTTCATTCAACTTAACTTCGTTGTACTTTGAAGGCTGATAACAGGAGGCTTTTTTTAAAATTTAAGTTACATTTTAGAACATTACTATTGTCTTTTTTACATATGGTAATGGGACTGTATAAAAATGAGGCCTCTGTACCTTTTGCTGCCTCATGGAAAGTTTATACAGTGAGGAATTACAACCAGAGCAGCTTAACAGTACTCTAAACTTGTATATTTTGCATCAATGTCTTCATCATTGTTTTCCTTGACAAGCATACCTTCCTGGTGACATGTAGATTTCAAGGAAGTAGTTTTGTTGTCTGTTGCCTTGTCCACAAACCCTATCACAAAAGTGCTATTAGCAGAAGCAACAAGAAAAATAAATGGCCTTGCAAATAGCTCTTGTGTTATTTATATCACTACCAGTTTTAGCCAAATATTGAACTAGAAGTGTCTCTGTTTATCATGGAAATTAAGATACTTGAAAGACTGTTCTCTGGTTTTGCACTTTTTGCAAAAGCTTTCTCACCAAGTTCAATGCACTGCGGGAACTCACTCAAATATTTTAAACTGTCTTGAAGTTTAGCTTTGTTGTATTGCTTCATTAGGAGCAATAATGAGGCTTGAATAATGTCACTTGCTAATGGAGTAAAAATATGAAACAACAACAGCATGTCCTTCTACCCCCTCCTTATTCTTAGGGCAATAAACACTGTTTTAAAGTTTTAACACACAGGAGGATATCATATATACACTAGGTCAGGTTTCTGATGTGGTTTTTCCATTGTTGCTAATGACAGCTTGCTGTTCAAACTGCTTTTTATCCTGTCAGTATTATCCCGTAATAAAAATTGCCTAAGTTTTAGCAGTTAAAAATGTGTGGTCTAGGTTATAGGACATCAAATATACAGTTAGAAATGCTGAAAACATTTGTGACCTCAGTATCTGATTTCTAGCTTTTCTCTTGAACAACATTTGGTCAGGAAACTGAGACTATGCCTTACATTCGTACAACCTCTTGTCTTTTTAGTTTTCTTTCCAAAAAATATCAATCAGGTTTCAAGAGTGCTTTCTAGTTTTTGAAAGAAATTAAAAAGTCATATCTAAAAATAATTCTTGAACTGGAAATAAATTTAAGTGATTTATTTCAACTCATTTTTATAGAGTAGATTTCTATCAATTTTCTTTTTCAAATGTAATTCATTTGAATAAGTAAACTTAGGTGTTCAGAAAAAAATGTATTTTCTTTTTTTTTTTTTACTTCTCAGTAAGTTAAACACATGAATGATCAAAGGCAAACGGAAATATATTACACATTCTGAAGTTTAACATCCCACCAGGATCTTCACAGGAATATTTTAATTATAATAAGTTTTGTGATCATTACATCTAATCCCTTTCAACTTTTCTGTTGCTCTTCCTTGTATACTTGAATAAATGCCAAGTAAATTTCATCTTTGAAGAAAAAAATATAAAAATACTTAACTGATTTCAAGTTATATGTGGATTATTGAAATCATTTAACAGCAATTTAAGCTGTTTGTAATCAGATAAGAAACTATGTCAGCAACTTAATTGGATTCAGGGAATTTGAACAGATTTTCTGTGCAGGGTCGCTAAGCATAATGCTAACAGTGGGCTGGAGCTACTCCAATTTATTCACTTCTGTAAAAAGAAGACTTCCTAAACCTGGAAAATAGTAGAGAGGGCCTGCTAGGATTTACAGCATTATATCCTCCATCTTATTATATTTCTGGCTTTTGTTTTGTTGATTTGATGTATTTATCAAAAATGTTAATCATTACATAGCTTTATCAATCATCATTTAACATGAACATGAATTACCCCAAAACAGCTTGAATCCTTGAAGATATCTGAAAAACCATGTTAATAAAAATAAGACTGTATATTCAGGTCTGTACATGTGGCTCATAGAAGGGTTTCAAATATGTAATTACCTGCAGAGGAATAGACATCAATTTTCAGGCTCTAGATGTTAGTAATTAATAAAACATGGCAGTAGACATTACTTTAACATATTATAAATAAAAATACATAGCACATATATGCATACAATATACACAGTGCATGTGCACATATTTGCTGTCTAAAACAGTATATAAATTCAAATCAAAAAGATGAACAGGGGTACTGCTGGGGTAGGCAATGGGAGTAAGTCTCAGCCCAATCTAGAGATACTGGGAAGTATTTAATGAAAGAGTGGATACAATATAAAAAAAACAGAAAAATTGTTAACATTAACACAAAACCTCATCCAAGCAGTTCAAAGCAACAGGAGAAAACAGAGGGCAATATCAAAAAAGCAGGAGACTGCATTTAAACTGCCCTAGTAGGTTTGAATCCTGACTCAACCTCTAAGCTGTGACATTTTTGGCAAGTTCCCAAGATTTATAAGTCATGGTATCTTAGTCAGCTCAGGCTGACCAAATAAAATGCCATATACTAGGTGGCTCAAATAACAGAAATTTATTTCTCACAGTCCTGGAGGGTTGGAAGTCCAAGATTAAGGCATCAGCTCATTCAGTTCCTGGTGAGAGTTCTCCTCCTGGCTTGTGGAGAGCCATCCTCTAGCTGTATTTTCACATGGCTTTTTCTCTCTTACTCATCTTATGACACTAATCATATTATGAGGGCCACACACATAATCTCATCTAACCCGAATTACCCCCAAAAGGCTCCATCTTCAAATACTATCATATTAGGCACTAGGACCTCAATATATGAGTTTGGGGGGACACAAGCATTCAATCCGTAATAATATCCTCCTCTGAAAATGGCATCAAAGAGTCCTTGCTTGGATTTATGAGGCTCAGAACATAGCAAATGTGGTGATAGTGGAAGCATATTCTTCGGTGGTGCTGCTGCTGCTTTACTGTGTGACCATCATTTGAAGGAGTCAACAACTGATTAAAATGGCATGATTCTCACTGGTTGAGTCTGTAAGACCAAGAACATGTATATGCCAATGGAATATGCTAGAAGATGTATAAGGAAATTGCAAAGAAGGACCATACAAAACATTTTGAACTCTTAGTTCATTATTTATTTTGAGGATATGGATGTAGTGGTTATTTAATTGAGGATTCAGCTAAAAAAGGCAAACAGAATTTCATTAGCAAAAGTGCTGGAATGCTGTGTTCTTTTCATCCTTACACCAACTGAGAAGACTTTGGTGAGGAACAATTAACAAAACTTTTTATATATCTCTAGATATTGAAAGCCACAGAAGTGAGTTTTAAACACACCTGAGAGTTATAAAGATAAAAGAATATTATTATTTTCATGAATTCACAGAACTGAGAGGAGGGCAAAGTGTCATGTTTTCTTTGGACCAGATGCACAACCACAAGAGAATATGCCGGTTCTCAGGGGACCTCACCCAATTGAACTAGGACTGAGAAACCTACGTTGAGTTTCCTGTTAAGCCAAGGCTGAGTTCTGGGAAAAGGAATCATAAAAAGTCAGCTGGAGGAGACATCAACAAGCAAGCTGCAGGTGGAACTGCCTGGGGGATGGGGGAGGGATCCTCTGAGAAACAGAGAAAATCCCTCAATAGAAAAGTCAGCATTCAATATCTGCCAATTTGAAAGAGGGCCAATATCAGATCAAAATAGAATTAGGCTGCATCTCTTACCCCAAATTACCTGCACTCTTAATAAACTCTTAATGAGTGTTATGGGCTCAGAAAATGAAGCTAGGGCTTAAGGAGGGAGTTGGCAAAATAAGGAGACAAACTGACTTTTTTTTCTTAGCAAGTGCAGACCTCCAATCTTGAAGCAGCATTCAGTGGGAGAAGAAAGAAAGCTTTAATTTTGTTGAAGTTGAGAGTCGTGATTATCACGGTAACTCGGAATTTCATCTCAATAAAAGAAATTTTGAGCCTTGGAAATACCTGAAGACCTATTGGTGATTTTGTCCCAGAAGCACACAGAACCAAGCTAATGAGTATGTTTGAAGGGAATGGAAAAAGAAAAATTTGCCCTATGACTTGCATATTGAGACCAATATGTTTAACAAAATAGTTACTTTCACTCGTGTCCATGTGAAGAGACCACCAAACAGGCTTTGTGTGAGCAACAAGGCTGTTTATTTCACCTGTGTGCAGGTGGGCTGAGTCGAAAAGAGAGTCAGCAAAGGGAGATGGGGTGGGGCCGTTTTATAAGATTTGGGTAGGTAAAGGAAAAAGGGGGATTGTTCTCTGGCCGGCAGGAGTGGGGGGGTGGGTCACAGGGTGCTCAGTGGGGGAGCTTTTTGAGCCAGGATGAGCCAGGAGAAGGAATTTCACAAAGTAATGTCATCAGTTAAGGCAGGAACAGGCCATTTAAATATCACTTCTTTTGTGATTCTTCACTTACTTCAGGCCATCTGGATGTATACATGCAGGTCACAGGGGATATGATGGCTTAGCTTGGGCTCAGAGGCCTGACATTCCTGTCTTCTTATATTAATAAGAAAAATAAAACATAATAGTGTTGAAGTGTTGGGGAGAAAATTTTTGGGGGTGGTATGGAGAGACAACGGGTGATGTTTCTCAGGGCTGCTTCGAGCGGGATTAGGGGTGGCAAGGGAACCTAGAGTGGAAGAGATTAAGCTGAAGGAAGATTTTGTGGTAAGGGGTGATATTGTGGGGTTGTTAGAAGAAACATTTGTGGTGTAGAATTATTGGTGATGGCCTGGATATGGTTTTGTATGAATTGAAAAAAGAACGGAATAAGACAAGGAGAAAAACAGGTATTAAAGGACTAAGAATTGGGAGGACCTAGGACATCTAACTAGAGAGTGCCTAAGGAGTTTCAGCATAGCCCTGCCAGGAAAGATTACTTAATTACTTTAAGAGGGAGTTAAGAGTGGCGGTTTGGGGATAGCATCAGGAGATATCAGCTGTGATGGCTTGGAGAAACAGTGTAAACCGGCAGTGTAAACAAGAGCAGGGCATTTATGAGTAGTTGAGAATGGTGAATAGGAGTATGACTAGACAGAATATAGCAGGGATGACAAGTAGTTTTTTTTTGTGGGGGGCGGGGCGCAGTCTAAGTTGGTCTGGTGTCTGGAATGAGACTGGGGCCTAATAAAAAGGAGTGTCTATACAGGAGCTCAAATGGGCTGTACCTTGTAGCATTCCGAGAACAAGCTTGAATTCTGAGAAGGGCAAGTGGTAAAAGTATTATCCAGTCCTTTTTAAGTTGACGGCTGAGCTTGGTGAGGTGTGTTTTTAAAAGACCATTAGTTCACTGAATACTAAGAGTCTGAGAAACTGCTTGGGTGATTTGACTAATAAAGGCCGGTCCATTATACGTCTGTATAGAGGTGGGAAGGCCAAATCGAGGAATTATGTCTGACAGAAGGGAAGAAATGACCGTGGCCATCTTAGACCCTGTGGGAAAGTCCTCTACCTATCCAGTTAAAGTGTCTACTTAGACCAAGAGGTATTTTAGTTTCCTGACTCAGGGCATGTTGAGTAAAGCCAATTTGCCAGTCCTGGGCAGGGGCAAATCCCAGAGCTTGATGTGTAGGGAAGGTAGGGGGCCTGAATAATCCCTAAGGAGTAGTAGAATAGCAGATGGAACACAGAGAAATTATTTCCTTAAGGATAGATTTCCACGATGGAAAGGAAATGAGAGCTTCTAAGAGGTGGGCTAGTGGCTTGTACTATAGCATAGCCTGCCTTTGCTGGAGTGTGGTGATTAGGCCTGGTGGAACTGCCATCAATAAACCAAGTGTGATCACAGTGAGGAACAGGAAAGAAGGAAATAGGGGGAAATGGGGTGAATGTCAGGTGGATCAGAGAGATGCAGTCATGGGGGCCAGGTGTGGTATCAGGAATAATGTGGGAGGCCGGATTGAGGTCCAGGCCAGGAACAATGGTAATTGTAGGAGACTCAACAAAGAGTACAGCTGAAGGAGCTAGAGATCAGAAAGTATATGTGTCAGGTGTGAGGAAGAAAATAGAGTTTGGAAGTTATGAGAACTGTAGAGAGTGAGTTGAGCATAGTTTGTGATTTAGAGGGCCTCTAAAAGTATTAAGGCAGTGGCAGCCACTGCATGCAGACATGAGGGCTAGGCTAAAACAGTGAGGTCAAGTTTGGATAAAAAGGCTACAGCGCACGGTCCTGGTTCTTGTGTAAGAATTCCAACCGCACAGACCTGCACTTCGGCTGTGGGTAATCAAAAGGGTTGGGATGAGTCAGGGAGAGCTAGGGCGGGGGCAGTCTCTAAAGCTGTCTTCAAGGAATGGAAAGAGGAGTGGGGAAAGGATTTAGGATCTATGGGGTCAGCTAAGTTTCCTTTTGTGAGTTTATATAATGGTTTTGTTAGGATGGCAAAACCAGGTATCTAAAGTCGAAAGTACCTAAGCATGCCTAGGAAGGAAAGGAATTGTTGTTTTGTAGAAGGTGTTGGGGTTTGAGAGATCAGTTGGACATGATCAGCAGAGAGAGCAGGTCTGTTTTCATGAGAATTATGCTGAGATAGGTAACAGATGAGGAAGAAATTTGGGCTTGACTGAAGTAATGGGAGCTGTCTGTGAAGCCTTGCAGCAGTACAGCCCAGGTAATTTGCTGAGCCTAATGGGTATCAGGGTCACTCCAAGTGAGAGGAAGAGAGGTTAGGATGAAAGGTGCAAAGGAATAGTAAAGAAAGCATGTTTGAGAGCCAGAACAGAATAATGGGTTGTAGAGGGAGGTATTGAGGATAGGAGAGTATATGGGTTTGGCACCACAGGGTGGAGAGGCAAAACAATTTGGTTGATAATGTGCAGATCCTGAAGTAACCTGTAAGCCTTGTCTGGTTTTAGGACAGGTGAAATGGAATTGTAAGGAGAGTTTATAGGCTTCAAAGGCCTTGCTGTAGCAGGTGAGTGATAACAGGCTTTAATCCTTTTAATGCGTGCTGCAGGATGGGATATTGGCGTTGAGTGGAGTAAGGGTGATTAGGTTTTAATGAGATGGTAAGGGGGTGCATGATCGGTTGCCAAGGAGGGAGTAGAGGTATCCTATACTTGTGGGTTAAGGTTGGGGGATATGAGAGGAGGATGCAAAGGAGGCTTTGAACTGGGGAAAAGGGCGGCAATGACGTGTGGCTGCAGTTCAGGAACAGTGAAGCAGATAATTTAGTTAAAATGTCTTGGCCTAATAATGGAACTAGACAGGTGGGGATAACTAAAAAAGAGTGCATAAAAGAATGTTGTCTAAGTTGGCACTAGAGTTGGGGAGTTTTAAGATGTTTAGAAGCCTGGCCGTCAATACCCACAACAGTTATGGAGGCAAAGGAAACAGGCCCTTGAAAAGAAGGTAATGTGGAGTGGGTAGCCTTCATATTGATTAAGAAGGGGACAGACTTACCTTCTACTGTAAGAATTACCTTAAAGCATCTGTGATGGTCCAGGAAGCTTCCAAGGCAATTGGGCAGTGTCGGTCTTCAGCTGCTGAGCCAAGAAGATCTGGGAAGGAGTCAGAAAGCCTTGGGCCAGAGTTCCAGGGGCACTGGAAGTGACTGCCAGGTAAGTTGAACAGTTCGATTTTCAGTGGGGTCCTGCACAGATGGGACATGGCTTAGGAGGAATCCCAGGCTGTGGGCATTCCTTGGCACAGTGGCCAGATTTCTGGCACTTGTAGCAAGCTCCTGGGGGAGGAGGTTCTGGAGGAATCCCTGGCAGCTGCGGTTCAGGCGTCTGGAGTTCTTGTGTGCTGGAGATGTGGCTGGGGTTTGTCTTGCAGTGGAGGCAAGGAATTACAACTCAGAAATACATTGCTACTTGGCTGCCTCTACTCTATTATTGTACACTTTGAAGGTGAGGTTAATTAAGTCCTGTTGTGGAGTTTGAGGGCTGGAATTTAATTTTTGGTAATTTATTTAATGTCAGGAGCAGATTGGGTAATAAAATGTATATTGAGAATAAGACAGCCTTTTGACTTTTTAAGGTCTAGGGCTGTAAAGCGTCTCAGGGTTGCTGCTAAACGGGCCATGAACTGGGCTGGGTTTTTCATATTTGATGAAAAAGAGTCTAAATGCTAACTGATTTGGGAGAGGTCAGATAAAGAAAAAGGAGTATTAACCTTGACTATGCCTTTAACTCCAGCCACCTTTTTAAGAGGAAATTGCTGGGCAGGTGGCAGAACGAAACTGTAAGCCAGACTGGGTATGAGGAGGGTAGGTGATAAAAGGATTATAGGGTGGAGGAGCAGAGGCTGAGGAAGAATTGGGACCTAGCTCGGCCTGGAAAGGAACAGCCTGGGGAAGAGGGGAGAGGTCAGATGGGTCTGTAGAAAAGGAAGATTGGAAAGAGGAAAGACTCAGCGACGCTTGGGGTTGGGACTGAGGGGACAGGCGGGAGGGAAAGAAGGAAGATTTGGGATGAGTTGCATTGGGAACAGAGGCTAGGGAAGGATTGATGTGTAAAAGAATGCCTGGACATCAGGCACCTCAGACCGTTTGCCTATTTTATGATAAGAATTATCTAGATCTTGTAGAAAGGAAAAATCAAAAGTGCTGTTTTCTGGCTATTTGGAACGACTGTTGAATTTGTATTGGGGTCAAGCAGCATTGTAGAAGTAAATAAGGTGTTTAGGTTTAGGTCAGGTGTGAGTTGAAGAGGTTTTAAGTTCTTGAGAACACAGGCTAAGGGAGGAGAAGGAGGAATGGAGGGTGGAAGGGTGCCCATAGTGAAGGAGGCAAGCCCAGAGAAAAGAGAGAATAGAGACATGGAGAGAAGCGGTGGGGGATGCTTGCCCCCAGGAAAGTGGAGAAGGGGTAGAGACACAGAGAGTAGGGGTCGGGGGGTTCTTGCTCCCTAGAAAAGTGATACTTGCAACTAAGGGTGAAGGAGAAGGGGTCGGGGGGTTATTGCCTTCCAGAAAAGTGGAGAAGGGGTAGAGACATGGAGAGAAGGGGTCAGGGGGTTCTTGCCCCCCAGAAAAGCAGTACTTGCCGCTAAGGGTGAAGGACCAAGGCAGGCATCCCCGTGTAGTCAGACACCTCTGAAATGTGGGTGAATAATCAGGCAGGCATCCCCGCATGATTAAACACCAAGGGAAGACTGTCTTCCCGAGTCCGTGACTGGCACCGGAGATTTGGGTCTATGGATAAAACACGTCTCCTGTCTCTATGAGAAAAGGAAAGGAACTGAAATTAAGAGAAGGGAGAGATTGAAGTGTGGCGCCAAGATTGAAAGGAGAAAGAGGTTGAGGGATAGTGAGAGAGGTTGGAGAAGAGGGTAAAAAGAGGCCGCTTACCTGATTTAAAATTGGTGTGATGTTCCTTGGGCTGGTCGGTCTGAGGACCTGAGGTCGTAGGTGGATCTTTCTCATGGAACAAAGAGCAGAAGAACAGGGGATTGATCTCCTAAGGGAGGTCCCCTGATCCAAGTCACGGCACCAAAATTTCACTCGCGTCCCTCACACAAAGACCACGAAACTGGCTTTGTGTGAGTAACAGGTCTGTTTATTTCACCTGGGTGCAGATGGGCTGAGTCGAAAAGAAAGTCAGCGAAGGGAGATAGGGGTGGTGCTGTTTTATAAGATTTGGGTAGGTAAAGGAAAAAGGGGGGTTGTTCTCTGGTGGGCAGGAGTAGGGGGTCACAACGTGCTCAGTAGGAGAGCTTTTTGAGCCAGGATGAGCCAGGAGAAGGAATTTCACAAAGTAATGTCATCAGTTAAGGCAAGGACCAGCCATTTTCACTTCTTTTGTGGTGGAATGTCATCAGTGAAGGCAGGAAAAGGCCATTTAAATATCACTTCTTTTGTGATTCTTCAGTTACTTTAGGCCATCTGGATGTATACGTGCAGGTCACAGGGGATATGATGGCTTAGCTTGGGCTCAGAGGCCTGACAGCTACATTACAGCATAGTGATTAATATTAATACTTTTGTAATAAACAATCAGATTACAATATGCTGGTATCCTCTTTCTAAAATTTCAGAACATGTCATATAGCTTACCAAAATGTTCCCATCTTGTACAATTAAAATGAACTTTTTAAGGTTTTGGCATATAAGTGTATTGTGGAAATTCTATTTATGTGTTAATTTCAGTCTATTGCTTCAGTTCCCAAAAGTTAGGTGTGATTATCTCTGGGTACATCTTCACAAACTTTAAAGAACACACTTTTCTGGAATCCATAAAATACAGATTTCATTAACTATCTAATGTTCTACTGGGCTTTGTGATCCACATAAGCAGACGTGAAAGACTTTGAGTTTCAGTTCTATTTGCATTTATGATGCTGTTCCAGAACGAACCCCTCACAGGAAGATCAATTATTAAAGAAATATCTTAAGCATAGCAGATAATTAGAAAGGCAGCCAACAAATAAAGCAACCCCAGGGATATGTTCTTCCAGCCTCCTGTCTGATGTCCAAGGTATTTATTTGCTTTACATAGCAGCTGTTGTCATTGTCACTAAGAACAAAGCAATAAAGATTCCAGAATTCTTTGAAGTTTATTCAATTGCCCTTTTTAAGTATGACAGGAAAACATCATTTGTTTACTTTAATGTTAAAACTATGAAGAGAAAATGGACATCAATCTAGGTTTCTACTTTGAAAGTGGCTTTTTCATAAGGTTTACTATTTAGTTTTAAAAATAGGCTCTACAAATATTTTCAGGTTGTTTAAATTTTGTTTTTGGCATCAGTAGGGCATCACTCTGACTGTACCTTTCTTCAAGGTTATGGTAAAGAAATCAAACTTCAACATGCCTAATAAACATGAATAGATAATGGTGTGTAGTAATATTGTGCTTCAAATATTTTCATATTAAAAATAATATTGAAATATATTGATTTGAATTTTAAAATAATGTTAAATTTTACAGATGTGGGTGTGTGTGTATACAATTGTCTTCTCATTATTTTTTCTATATTATGTGATAAAATATTACAATTTTAAAGCTAACTTTTGGAAAATACTAAACAATTGAATTTTACATTTGGTCAATAGTATTGACTCTGCTATAGCTTCTACAAATGTGTATATGATTTATAAAACCTATGTCTGGGGAAGTTAAAATACTTAGCCACAGCATATTATTTAATGCTTAAGAACTTTATAATATTGCAATGTTATAACTCTTTCTTTTTATTTATTTCACAGATATCTATTGAGTACTACTAAGGCCAGACACTATTCTAAGTGCTAGGCACACATCAGAAAGAAACAGATATTTCTGCTCACTATGGTAGTTATAATTAAAACAATTGAACTCAGAGGTACAGTAGTGAGAGGTGACAGCATGCTGGCAGCCCTCACAGCCCTCGCTCGCTCTCAGTGCCTCCTCGGCCTCAGCGCCCACTCTGGCCACACTTGAGAAGCCCTTCAGCCTGCCGCTGCACTTTGGGAGCCCCTTTCTAGGCTGGCCGAGGCTGGAGCCAGCTCACTCAGCTTGCAGGGAGGGGTGGAGGGAGAGGCATGGGCGGGAACTGGGGCTGCGTGCAGCGCTTGCAGGCCAGCGTGAGTTCCGGGTGGGCGTGGGCTTCGTGGGCCCTGCACTCAGAGCGGCCGGCCGGCTCCACCGGCCCAGGGCACTGAGGGGCTTAGCACCCGGGCCAGCAGCTGCGGAGGGTGTGTCGGGTCCCTCAGCAGTGCTGGCCCAGTGGTGCTGCACTCGATTTCTTGCCAGGCCTTAGCTGCCTCCCTATGGGGCAGGGCTCAGGACCTGCAGCCCCCCATGCCTGAGCACTTCCCCTCCATGCCATGGGCTCCTGCACAGCCCGAGCCTCCCTGACAAGCACCGCCCCCTGCTCCATGGTGCCTGGTCCCACTGACCACCCAAGGGCTGAGAAGTGCGGGCGCAAGGTGCGGGACTGGCAGGCAGCTCTACCTGCGGCCCTGGCGCGGGATCCACTGGGTGAAGCCAGCTGGGCTCCTGAGTCTAGTGGGGACTTGGAGAACCTTTATGTCTAGCTAAGGGATTGTAAATACGCCAATCAGCACTCTGTGTCTAGCTCAAGGTTTGTAAATGTACCAATCTGCACTCTGTGTCTAGCTGATCTGGTGGGGGCTTGGAGAACCTTTATGTCTAGCTAAGGGATTGTGAATACACCAGTCGGCACTCTGTATCTAGCTCAAGGTTTGTAACTGCACCAATCAACACTCTGTGTCTAGCTCAGGGTTTGTAAATACACCAATCAGCATTCTGTAGCTAGCTAATCTAGTGGGGACTTGGAGAACTTTCGTGTCTAGCTCAGGGATTGTAAATGCACCAATCAGCACCCTGTCAAAATGGACCAATCAGCTTTTTGTAAAACAGACCAATCAGCTCTCTGTAAAATGGACCAATCAGCAGGATGTGGGTGGGGCCAGATAAGAGAAAAAAAGCAGGCTGCCCCAGCCAGCAGTGGCAACCCTCTGGAGTCCCCTTCCACATTGTGGAAGCTTTGTTCTTTTGCTCTTTGCAATAAATCTTGCTACTGCTCATTCTTTGGGTCCACACTGCCTTTATGAGCTGTAACACTCACCGTGAACGTCTGCAGCTTCACTCCTGAAGCCATCGAGACCACGAACCCACTGGGAGGAAAAAACAACTCCAGACACACCGCCTTAAGAACTGTAACACTCACCACGAAGGTCTGCAGCTTCACTCCTGAGCCAGCGAGACCACAATCCCACCAGAAGGAAGAAAGTCCAAACACATCCGAACATCAGAAGGAACAAACTCCAGACACGCTGCCTTTAAGAACTGTAACACTCACCGCGAGGGTCAGCGGCTTCATTCTTGAAGTCAGTGAGACCAAGAACCCACCAATTCCGGACGCAGTAGGATGATGGTTATCAGAGGGTAGGAAGGGTAGCAGTGGTGGGAGGTAGAGATGGTTAATGAGTATAAAAATATAGTTATATACAAGGAATAAGATTTAGTATTTGATACTAGATCTAGTTTTTGCTACTACAACAATGTGATTATGAAGGAAGAGAGAGACCTTCTCATGTTGTTTTATACTCAGTACCTGTTTTAAGAAGAAACAACAAAGAAGTAAAGCCAAAGACAGGCAGCCTGGCGCCAGGCCTGAAACCAGGCCTGGGCCTGCCTGGCCTAAATCCAGTAGTTAAAAATCAACTCATAACTTAGAAACCGATGTTATTCATAGATTCCAGACACTGTATAGAAGAACATTGTGAAACTCCTTGCCCTGTTCTGTTTCTCTCTGACCACTGGTGCACGCAGCCCCTGTCACGTACTGCCTGCTTGCTCAAATCAATCATGATCCTTTCCTATGAAATCTTTAGTGTTGTGAGCCCTTAAAAGGGACAGAAATTGTGCACTCGGAGAGCTCGGATTTTAAGGCAGTAGCTTGCCAATGCTCCCAGCTGAATAAAGCCCTTCCTTCTACAACTCGGTGTCTGAGAGGTTTTGTCTGCAGCTCGTCCTGCTACAATTACAGTCCACAAAAATGTATCGTACATTGCAAAATAAATAAGACTATAATCTGAATGTTTATAACAAAAAAAATAAATGCTTGAGGTACTAGATACCCTATTTACTCTGATGTGACTATTATGTATTTTATACCTGTAGGGGGGAGGGGGGAGGGATAGCATTGGGAGATATACCTAATGCTAGATGACGAGTTAGTGGGTGCAGCGCACCAGCATGGCATATGTATACATATGTAACTAACCTGCACAATGTGCACATGTGCCCTAAAACTTAAAGTATAATTAAAAATAATAATAATAATAATAGAAATAATAATAAAAAAATAAATAAATAAATATGTATCCCACTGAAAAAAAAATAAATAAAATAAAATAAAATACCTCATGTGCCCCATAAATATATACACCCACTATCTACCCATTAAATGTTTTTAATTTTTTTTTAATTCCAATCTGGATTATTCTGAGCATAACTACAAATACAATAGGAGGGTCAAATACTAGTAAATAACACTTACTTTGGAGTCAGACAGAAAAAGGTTTGCATTCTAACTCAGTAATTTACTATTTTTGTTACTTAAAGCAAGTTAATTAATTAATCTGGATCTAATTTATGTAAACTCTAAAATGGAAAACATTACCTAATTTACATTGTCACTTGCTTAGAGTGCCTGGTATATAAATCAACATTAAAATGTAAGTATTTATTGTTTAAAAAACAAGCAAACATACTTGATTTTAGAAGAAACAAACACATTTTAATACACTAATAGTTTAATATAGAATTTTACTGTTTATTTTAATCATTACTTTTTGTTCTTATCATATTTATTTAAATTAATCAAGCATAACATTTTATAATAAATGACAAAATATAAACATTAAATTATGCTAAATATGTCATTTATTAATTACATTTAACCCCTCAAAATTTCTATTTTACTGACATTTTGGTAACTTTTAAAAGTTTATTATAGTTACTTCAACAAGTTTTAGCCTCCAGTTATATACTGAGAAAAGCTTTTCTGTGACTTTCTCATTATTTTAATTTCTTAATATTATTATTGCCTACATTCCAAGCTCTTATTTGTGGAACCTTAATGTCTTTTAATTACAGGTTAAATTTTGATATGTATGGGAGTTAAAAATTAAAACATTTTTGGATTTTTGTGAAATATTTTTGTATATTTTTGAAAGTGTCTAATGTGAAGAGGCAAGCTTGTATTTTAATTCTAATACCACCCCTTCTCTACATTTACATAAACACTATCAGTCTTAAGTTTTTTCTTTTTATTTTAAAAATAGAAATGCCTCAGAGAGTTGTATAGAGATAAAGGGTGGCAGCGTTAATCTAAAACAGTTTCTAACACAAAGTAGATGCTCAATAATTTTTGTGTTTCTGTTCCTTTCCTGAAAATATTTCTTTTGGAAATAGAGATGATACCTGAAAACTAATTTAACACTTATTTGTGGGAGAGCTATTGAAAATTAGATTTGATTACCGTTTTCTGTCACTGTGTATTTCCCCTTAATCAGATTTTTCTTGCTAAATGATCTTTCCTGGGGAAAAAGAAATAGACATTCTTTAGTTGCTTATTTTTTTTAAAATGCCATTTAATTAACCTCTGTAGAAGCAGACACTGTTAAAGTTCAGAAAATGAACGGAATCTAGATCTGTGAGCTAGGGCTCAAGCATTCAACATAAAACTCCACCACTCACAGGTTCTCACTACTTGTGAGAAAGGATCATGGGAAAAAGATGAAAGAGTGCAAGAGTTTTAATATATTATTCACAATGTCTTGCAATATGTCTTCAACACCATACACTTGGATCTCATCTAATTACATCTTCTCCCAAATCCAATCAATTCCCAAGACTCGTCAATTGTATATCCTACACTTGCTGAATATATCCATTTATGTTCAGCTTCGTTACCACTTCCCTAGGCAGACGATTTCCTCCAGGTTACTCTGCTCAGATTTGCAGCACAAAGAGACTTCCTATCAAATTCATACGATGGTTATTTCACACCAAAATATATTCCCAATGGCTTTCTATGCTCCACCTTGTCTATCCAGTTACATCCTTTGCCATTCTTCCTTTTGTAACTAGTCATACAAAATTTATTCCTCCATCTGAAAACACTAGGTTTTTTCTATACTTTAAGTCTCACATACTGTTCTCCATGCTGGGTATTTTCTTTACATTCCTCCTCAACATGTGCTTAAAGGCAACTACCTCTGCAAAGTTTTTCATGTCTCTGTTAGACCATTTAATTTCCAATGTGTTGCATCTCTGCTACAGGCCAGCCCAAAATTTCCTATCTTTTTATATCTGTATCCTTATTTCAATGCATTTAAACTTTTCTCTATTTTTTTTTTCTTTTCACTAGACAATAAGCTCTCTGAGGCAAGGATCCCATGTATCTTCTTAGGTGGAGGAGATTTGTTCCTAGTGCAGTGCCTGAGACTATGGGCAAATACTAAGGACAACTATTTGATGAAAAAATTAAAATGCAAACATAGTATATAATAACCGTATGGTTGGTAGTAGATATTGAGTGTCATCTTAAAATCATTCTCTCATTCTCAAGATTCTCCAGTGAATATTAATCACAGGATATCAATGTGATTATGCTTTCTCTCCTATTCTACTTCTCCGGGACTTTTCTTTCTGTCTTTATCATTTAGAATCTAAGATCAGACAAAGAAGAAAGGTAAAAAGGAGAAATAAAATAATGAAGGCTGAAGACAAACAGGAGTTATTCTGTGTTATTAAGGAAAGAAGACTAAAAGCAACTTTAGGATGTGGGGAAAAAAAATCTTTAATGTTATAGCCTTAAAATCTTAAAATGCTTATGGTCTTAGACTAAAAGTCTGACTAGCCTAGAATTAAAAGTATTTATTTTCATATATAAACGTACATTAATAACTATATTAAAATCAATATGTACTATTTTGTGTTAAAATATAAAGTATATTTATGAATGACACACTCAAGTTTAAAAAGTATGCTTAAGAAGTCAAAAGTTAGAGATGATTGAAATTAAGCTATTTCTTTTAACAAATATTAATAAAAATATCTGGATCCAATATGGGCATATGTGGAAGTTAGATGCATGGCTGCCATATTCTTTCCCATATATTTGCTATATTTTATAGTTAAATTAAATGTGAAAATAAATATTTCCACTTCACTCAACAAACATTTTTTAAAGTCTTTCTATATACCGCACACTGCCATTAGCACTGCGGCTATAGCTGTGAAAATCCAAATAATATTCTTATTCTTATAGAGCTTACATTTTCAGGAATCTGTAAAATTGTCTTCGAAGTCATCTCTTCTAAGGGCCTGACACCAGAAAAGTAAGTGACAGATTTTTAAAATGAAACTAAATGTTCCTCAATCGCTAAATTTTTTATAGAAAACCTGCTATCTTCCAAACATTAAGTATTGAGAATGCAAAGTATATTAGAATAAGAATATGTTTACTTAAATAAATATTATTTGTTCTATAAAATTAATATTAATAAATGAGTTTGTAGTATTACAAAATGTTTTCCTAAGATAAAGAATTTAGCAAATGGTAATTGAGCATGAAATCCATGAAGGCACTGTGCGATTAAGTGAACATGAACGAAGCCTTGATGATAACCTGAGAGATATAGGCTTGGAGAAACGAGCGCTGGATTAGAGAAAGGACAGCTGCCTAGAAAAGAATGCATTCCCTGGGATTGGCATGGCAGACACACCCTTTCTGTTTTCAGCATTTCCAGAATTTAGTCTCACATCTTTAATTTTTCTGTGATGAGAATCTTGGTGGCAAACAAATGGTGAAGGCATGGGAATACTAGAAACACATGTGTCCTCAGCCACACCCATTCCGAGGCAGAACCCTAGAAATGTAAAGTGTTCCTGTCCTAGGACCAGGTACAAGGTACAGGAGACCAGAGAGACAGCCTGCAGTTATCTTTTTTTTTTTTTTCCCTTTCTTTACAGAGGTCAGTAAGGCATTCTTCCTCCTCCTCCAGCTCCTCTTAAGTGTTTACTGTTCAATGTGATTTAGTAACTATTGAAATAAGTCATTTTTCCTCTTCACTACTTGGAACTTATAAATCATCTAAAAATAATATAACGTATTTTGATTTTTACTTCCAGTTTGTTTAATAAGGTGCCCGGTGCATCATTAGTATAGATTGAGGTAAGCATTCTAACTTGTGATTTTTAATTCTGATTTTTAGTAGGAAAAAAAGTGTTTCAGGTTTATTTAATTTTAAGCTTTCCTATGATAGGTCTGCACTATAATCTTCCACTCTGTATACTTTCCTTTTAAAAGGATGACAGTTTCCTTAATATGACAAAAGCATACCACATTTCTGTTTGGAGACAGCTCAGCTTACTCTGTTTCAATGAGTGC
The DNA here is from genome assembly GCF_000001405.40 of Homo sapiens. Lineage (NCBI taxonomy): Eukaryota > Metazoa > Chordata > Mammalia > Primates > Hominidae > Homo > Homo sapiens. The sequence goes on along the minus strand of NC_000003.12, from coordinate 162,704,498 downwards.
TCTCTTTGTATGCCTCTGGCACACTGGATATTGCAACTGGCTATTCAGTGTCTTAGCTTTCTATTTCCATCATCACTAAAGTGATTTTATGCAGAGGATTTTCCACTGATTATCTGAACTGGCAGATCATCTTGACTTCCTCCTCTATTCATAAGTGAGCTTCTGGGACTCCAACTATCAGCTGCCAGTTCCTCAAGGAATCTGCATATTCTTTGCCAACTTCCCCTGTTCTCTCGAAGTTTCCTTTCTAAAGTCTTCTGGAAAATGAAGTTCTTGCATTTTTAATGATTTTCACTTTATGAAGTTAGCTGCTGAGCTACCAAATCTATATACCTGTTTACTAGTGTTTTATCTTTTTGTAAAGTGTGCATTTTCTCATGACACAATACTGTTTCATGCCTTTAACCTTAAACTACAGCATATACTTGTGTGATGCTAACAGAGCCATTATTTTCTAAATTTTATTTTTGAGGTGCTTAATTGACAATCTTTTTATTTTCAAGTTTTTGCTGTTATGATTGGTTTTAATTCTTTTGTGTATGACCTGCACTTAGACGGATGAATTTGAACTCTGTCTTTTGATAGAAGTCATCATTCTATCCATATATAGGGTAAGAATCCTATACAGTTACTGTGCTCCTTACATCTTCATGTTAACTTCTTTTAAAAAAAAATCCTTTCCTGTATTCCCTTATTATCTTGCATTATTTTAATCAAGTTGCTATTTATTCCATGTTTTTGCTACTTAATTAGATATTCTTATTAAAATTTCATTCTTTTCCCTTACCAGACCATGCATTTGTAACTACATAATGTGCATTTTTTATTATTGTTTGAAAAGAAAATTAATATTTCTCCATGAAAATATACTGATTCTTCACCAACATGATGTGCGTTACCCATCCCATCCTTATCAGACATATAGAAACACATTAATTTATTCTATCTCTTCCCTTCTCTCATTTTATTTGGACATCAATAATAATCAAAATAAGTAACAGAAATTTAATCAAAGTGAGAGGTGATAGCGTTTGGCATCCCTCACAGCCCTCGCTCGCTCTCGGTGCCTCCTTGGCCTCGGCACCCACTCTGGCTGCACTTGAGGAGCCCTCCAGCCTGCCCCTGCACTGTGGGAGCCCCTTTCTGGGCTGGCCGAGGCAGGAGCCGGCTCCCTCAGCTTGCGGGGAGGTGTGGAAAGAGAGCGGGCGGGAACCGGGACTGCTTGCACGCTTGCGGGACAGCGCGAGTTCCAGGTGGGCGTGGGCTCAGCGGGCCCCACACTCGGAGCGGCCGGCTGCCCCACCGGCCCCAGGCAGTGAGGGGCTTAGCACCAGGGCCAGCAGCTGTGGACAGTGCACCCAGTCCCCTAGCATTGCCAGCCCACTGGCGCTGCGCTTGATTTCTCGCCGGACCTTAGCTGCCTCCCCATGGGGCAGGGCTCAGGACCTGCAGCCTGCCATGCCTGAGCCTCCTGCCACACCCCTGCAGTGGGCTCCTGCACGGCCGGAGCCTCCTGGACGAGAAGCACCCCCTGCTCCATGGTACCCGGTCCCATCGACCGCCCAAGGGCCGAGGAGTGCGGGCGCAAGGCATGGGACTGGCAGACAGCTCCACCTGCGGACAGGTGCGGGATCCACTGGGTGAAGCCAGCTGGGCTCTTGAGTCTAGTGGGAACTTGGATGAACCTTTATGTCTAGCTAAGGGATTGTAAATACACCAATCAGCACTCTGTATCTAGCTCAAGGTTTGTAAACACACAAATCAGCACCCTGTGTCTAGCTCAGGGTTTGTGGATGCACCAATCATCACTCTGTATCTAGCTAATCTGGTGGGGACTTGGAGAATCTTTATGTCTAGCTAAGGGATTGTGAACACACCAATCAGCACTCTGTGTCTAGCTCAAGGTTTGTAAATGCACCAATCCGCACCCTGTGTCTAGCTCAAGGTTTGTAAATGCACCTATCAGTTCTCTGTGTCTAGCTGATCTGGTGGGGACTTGGAGAACCTTTATGTCTAGCTAAGGAATTGTGAATACACCAGTCAGCACTCTGTAGCTAGCTCAAGGTTTGTAAATGCACCAATCAGCACTCTGTGTCTAGCTCAGGGTTTGTAAATACACCAATCAGCACTCTGTATCTAGCTCATCTAGTGGGGACTTAGAGAACTTTTGCGTCTAGCTCAGGGATTGTAAACACACCAATCAGCACCCTGTCAAAACAGACCAATCAGCTCTCTGTAAAATGGACCAATCAGCTCTCTGTAAAATGGACCAATCAGCAGGATGTGGGTGGGGCCAGATAAGGGAATAAAAGCAGGCTGCCTAAACCAGCCATGGCAACCTGCTTGGATCCCCTTCCACACTGTTGAAGTTTTGTTCTTTCGCTTTTTGCAATAAATCTTGCTACTGCTCACTCTTTGGGTCCACACTGTTTTTATGAGCTGTAACACTCACTGTGAAGGTCTGCAGCTTCATTCTTGAAGCCAGCGAGACCACAAACCCACCAGAAGGAAGAAACTCTGAACACATCCAAACATCAGAAGGAACAAACTCCGGACACGATGCCTTTAAGAACTGTAATACTCACCGCTAGGGTACGTGACTTCATTCTTGAAGTCAGTGAGACCAAGAACCCACCAATTCAGGACACAAAAGGATCTGTGTTTATGGCTTTGTTATTCTGTCCTCTTTATTGCCAAATTAATTCAGATTGATCAATGCACTTCCCTTTAAACACGGGAAAATATTGTGTTATAAATGTAGATGTAGCATAATAAGGAAGAAAGTCCTTATTGTAAGCCACATGCTTTCAATAAGCATTTGATGCTTGCTTATGTGAAGCAAGCAAACTGACATGCTTAAAATTATGCAATGGTTACATAAGTAAAGCATGTATCATTTACATATACTTATTTTTTAAGTAGAATTTTTTGTCATAATTATATAGACAATTAATTTATAAATCTTACTATCTTCTAAGATTATCCATCTGTTTAAATTGTGCAACGTTAAAAATATCTGCCTACGATTATTTTCAAACAAAGGATCGCTTTGCTTCATTTTACTTTGTGTATTCCCGTAAAGGCCCAGGCCAGCCCTTACACTTTATCAGCTTGCTCAACCCAACACTGTCCTGGAAGCTCAGCTCTAGCCTATAGCCTGGACCAATCTTTACTAAGACTATAATATACACACAAGACCCTGAAAAAAACATTTGATTTCATGTAGAATCTGTCCTGCTGCCCTTAGCTTGTTCAAAACAATTGGGCATTTTATTTGTTTACTTTGTTTTATAAAAGGAGGCAGCAAAAAGAAGAGTAGATCAAAAATGATCATTAATAACTACCCTTCCCTATGATTCAAACCCTATGTTTGTATTTCAGTAAAAGAAAATACTCTAAAAATAATTCCACGTGGCTGTCACCTAGATATTTTTCTTCCTAATTCATCATTGGGAGGAAAAAGACAATTTAGAAAATAGTAAGACATGAAATAATGATATTGGTACATTTGGAAGGGGATAAAACAAACTTCGTAATGCATTATTTGAATCTTAATTCATTATCAAGTACTGGCATATTTACTTCTGTTTCCATCAGTTATTTCTTTAAACAAAAGTAGAGAAATCTTAAACAATACAAGCAAGATAGTCACCTACTTTGTTTTTGGTGTGCATATGTGAAATTGATATTCTTGTATTTCTAAAATGTTATGCGAGCCACTTGGTTGTTTTTATTATTCATAATAATGAGAAGAAACACTGTGTGTGTGTGTGTGCATGTGTATATGTGTGTGTGTTTTTTTAGGGGAATAATTTTAAAGTCATTCTCTATCTTGTGATTCTGTGGATCAGCAGATGTGCTTAAAGATTTGGCTATATAAGCCTTCTCAAAATGCTCCAAGACAGCAGAGCTAGGTGGCATATGCCACAACATATACATACTGTGATGCCTTTCAGCATTCAGCAAGGAGGACTCACCCTCTTTGTAATTCATCATAGTGAGACATATCCAGATAAATCAATATACAGGCTAAAACAAAATATTAAAGGAAACAATTGGTTCTATAACCACACGGAAGCAATTGCTTGTTCTGACATGACTAAACTTATTTTAATAGCTCAAGGAACTAAAAATAATTGGAGGTCTGAATATTTTAAAAACACATTCTAAAAGATTTATCTTCTCTTAGGACAGAAAAACACCTTTTCTGTTTTCTTTGTCAGGTACCTTTGTTGCAAAGTTATGTATATAATTAAAAGAAGAAAGGAAAATTACTTCTGTCAGTCAGATAGCAAAATTAAAAAAAAATCACTTTATTTGTGTGTGTGTCTGTCGACATCTTTTAAAATATACACAAATTTGTGATACCTTTCAGAGATTTAGTCCAAGTTTCTAAGTTCACTGGACAGCACCATTAGGAGACAGCAATGATCATGGAGATGATAATATCTTCTGGTCACTATTGTTAACTTTCTGTAACGTTAAACAATATCCAGGGATATATGAGTATATTCTCCCTCTAGAGTTGAAAAAACATTATACCTATTTTAACAAACAATTGTAATATAAAATTTAGGGTTTACACAATCACTTAATACTAATCACATTTCATCTGTGGTAAGGATTTCACATAAATCAAATGAAACTTCTAAAATTTATAGAACATTACATGTAATTCTATTTAAACTATTAAAATAAGGCATTAAGAAGTATTTAACAGAAAATAAACGTTTTAAGTGATATATGCACAAAATTCATTATAAAGAAGTACTAACTTCATATGTCATGCCATTTTTAAATATTTACTGTCAGAAAAATATAATGGGTACCAAAAACTAACCAATCGTACCTCACATATTTCCACTAAAAAATTTCTACTTTCCAGCATATGTTATCTATGAATTGTTTCTCAATGAATTTTAAACAATCACTGGCTTCTGGTGGCTGCTTAGAAACTCAAACAAACAAACAAAAACCCTATAATTAAAACCTTGGTAGTAGGGATGAAGTTTTGTTTTGTGCTGTGTTTTTTTCTGGACACTGACATCTGTTTTGCTTTCCAGAAACTAAATTCTCTGTTAAAAAAAAAAAAAAAAAAGCAACTTTTATCTGAAATGTCTTTCCAGAATATTTAGCAAAATGCATTTTTTTTTCTGCTGCTATCCTTTGCTTGACACATTGCCTTATAAGTGAAGTGTGGCTGATAAGAAAATAAATACTGTGGTCCAGATGGTTCTACTCCCTTGTATGGAAACTGTCCATCAGTGTGCCGTGAATATCTAATATTATATTAGCACATAATTTTAGTCTATAGTTAAGACACCAAAACATAAAATAGATAAAATATATTTAAAAGATTAAAAAGAAATAGATTTAGTATTTCTCTAATAGAAATAGTGACCTGCTTTCTTCTTATGACTCAATTCTCCTCCTCCATCATATAAATTTATATTATAAAATATTTCAATTTTTATATCTGTCTTTTTTAGCACAATATGAAAAATCTCAAGGCTAGGAGATGATTAATTTTAATTTGTTGCTGTAGTATATACTGTATTTTTTAGAATGTGTGGCATTTTTAGCATGACAACATAATAAATAAAACTGGAAAGAAGTGCATTTTATTTGTCAGACTTCCACATTTGAAAACTTGACATGTGTAATATCTGCTGACATCATACCTAACAGGTTTCTTAAAGTAAAAACTGGAGTAAAGTATCTTTTATAAATATTTGCATTATATGCAGTCACACTCTTGCATACTTTTTAAAATTTAGATATTTGTTAAATAATAGTTTCCCATAAAATAATTTATTACAAAAGTTGACCAGAAGAAGATCTACTTATTAAGCATGGAGGAAGAGAAGCATTTTTCTGAACATATTAGAGACGTGCAGTTTGGCTAATAGAAACAGTATTCAAATGATTTTGTAGAATAAATTTCAAAAATGGCTACAAATATGTTTGTGTAAGTTATATGAAGATCTAGAAATGGAATTTCTACTTTTCAAAAAAATACTAAATCCAGACTGCAGACACAATTCACAGATTATTTTAGTCTTGATTTTAAATATCCATTATGATAGACAGAGCAACGACTCCTCAAAGCTGTCCCTGACTTAATCCTTGGAACCTGTGAATCTGTTACCTTGCATAACTTGCACGATAAAGTGGAATTAGAGTTGCAGATGCAATTAAGGTTGCTAATAAACTGACATTGAAGTAAGGAGATTATTCTAGATTATCTGAGTAGGCCTAGTGTAAGCAAGACTGTCTTTAAAAATTGAAAAAAAGAAAAAAAAGAAGCAGAATAAGAGTATAGAAAGATTCTGTGAGGATTAGCTCCACTGCTGCTGGTGCCGAAGATGGATGGAAGGGGTCAGTTGTGGGCCAAGTATAACAGGCAGCCACTAGAGGCTGGAACATGCAAGAAAATAGATTCTCCCTTAGAGCATCTAGAAGAAATCGTGACCCTCCCAATACCTTGAATTTAGCCAAGTAAGATTTCTCATCTATAGAACTACAAAATTAAACAAACAACAACAACAAGCCAGTGTTGTTTTAAGCCACGAAGTTTGAGGTAATTTTTAGAACAGTAACAAAAAATAATATACCCATTTAAATATAAGAAATAGTACTATCAAATTTTCCTTATGTTTATATTGATTTCATTTCTTTATGTTCTTTAGTGTATTTGGAATTAATTGAAACTAATGAAAATGTCATAAATTTTAAAAATGCTTGAAAACTCCAAGGCTGTTATAATTCTGGGTTTTCAAAGGAGAAATATGAGTATTAAGGAAGAAAACCATATTTATTTAGGCACATAGTCTTATAACCTTCTATATGTTATTCTCAAAAAGATGGGTTATACAATTGAAATTTCCATTATTTTCCTCTGATTTTGAGTTTCCAGATTTGGTGCTTGATTCTGCAAACCAATCATCTTTGCCTTCCCAAGAGTTAAGACCTGTTAGTAAGAACAAATATTTATTACCTAGACCTTAAATTATTTCTCTTTACCTGTATTCAATAGCAATTTTACAATAAAAGAGAGACTATTTTGTACATAAAGAGAGGAAACTTCTCTTGGAGTTAGAAACCAGAGATATTGACTGAGCACAGGGTGTTTTACCAGGAAACCAGGCTGTCCAGAAGAAGTTCTTAGCAGGAAGATAATAACCACCAGAGACTCAGAGACAACAGAGACAATTTAAGTATAACATGCCCAAATTATTCCTATTAAAACATTACTCCCAGCTCAGGTTTTATTTTACATGTTTTAAATGATACGTTGACATCCATAGACTATGGAATGTATAAAATATCTTTTTAATTGTCATATATAGAGTTGCCAAAATTGATTTGATAAAATAATAATTTTTTTTCTACTTGGGGACTTCACTACTGAAAAGAAATTTAGACTATTAACAAATAGTAAGTGAATTTGTTTGATCTAATTTAAAAGGTATATAAAATAGCTGGAAGGAAAAGTCAGTTTAGTTTTTATAACTTCTGGTGATTCTAGGAAATAAAATTACTGTTTACTACTGATAGCATCTTCACCTTTGTGGGCCATTCATGGTTAGGAATGCAGTCCCTCCAGACTGTGTCTCATTTTTAATTGAATAGTTGCTTTAAGAGAACGAAATCTCTTTTCATCTGTTATAGTAGAAAGACAGTGAGCAATGGCATTAGTACTTCAACAACGTATACAAACTGAAAAATTTATAGCTTTCTCTAATATCATTCCTCTGATGTAATGAGATGATAGAACAGACAGAAGAGAGTGAACCTACTTCCTCCAATCCTTTAATAAGGGTTCTAATCCCATCTCTTAGGGCTCCATCCTCATGACTTATTTATCTCCTAGAGGCCCAAGTTATTAATATGATCACATTAGCCATTACGTTTCAACACATGAAATTTGGGGGATACATCCAGACCATAACACCTGAACAGAATGGACTTGGGTTAATTCATATTTGAAAGGCATTTTAAAAAAAATTGTCAATGATAGATTTCAAGGATCAAATTTTTACAAAAATTTCCTGTGCCTGCTTTATATATTGGATCTGAAAAAGATTAGGCCTAAGGGGATAATTGTTTCATTATGTATATATTTATATACATACACACACAAATTGATTTCCTTCTATATATATAATCACAATATTATTTTTAATAGCACCATTCGGTCTTCTTACAAGAGATCAACAATAGGAATTGTGGGAAATTTATAGGATTTATGAATTTATGAATCTAAAAGAATGCTCAATATCAGAAATCTTCCAAAAGACGGACCCTAAAGAAGGAACCTTCTAAAGAGGATTCTCCAGCTAAAATTAAGGCATTTTCAGGCATGAAAGGATTTTTAAAGAGATATATTAAATAATTTTAATAAAATACAATGTTTCTGTAAATAGATAATTTCACCAGTATTTCATTTATGATATTATCAACAACCACTTGGGGAAAATTAGAATTAACTTAGTGCAAATTAAACATTTTTATGTTTAGATAATCAGCAAGTGCCGAGAGCAGTGACAAGGGCTGAAATAATTAAACAAGAGGATAATTAAAAAAAAAACAAACTAGAATTAACAAGAATAAACAGTAACATCTCAAAATAAATTTACTGAACTAAAGGCAGATTAGTTTATGGAACTCTAGTAAAATCTAAGGCAAATATTTTTCTAATTTAGTTTACTGAGCTGTAGGCCAATTCTACAGGAAAGTTTTGTTCATTTTTTGAATGAATGCACCTATAAAATAAACATTAGTTTTGGAGGAAAAATTTATTTTCTCAAAGTGTAGAAATTTGTCTCTATCACTAATTTTAGTTACATTTAAATTTCCCAAAATATGTTTTATAAATATAAAAAGAACAAACGAACTTTTGTATTTCTAAACAGAGTTTTAGTTTAACACAGGAAAAATCAATAACTAACACAAAGTAGGTTAGTAAGGTATTCCTTAAGTGAAATTTCTGAAGACAGTCTAGCAGTCTCAATTGAAAATCTATTAACCTAAACTTACAAAAAGGAAAAAATCAGTCTATCATTTTTTTCCTAGATTCAGAGACCATCTGTGAATACTACATATGTGTTTTAAATTAGCTTTCGAAGAAATATTTATGCCTTATCAATGCTACTAGCAAAGACTGTTGATATGATCTTTACAACCCTCAGTTTAGACAAAACATTTTGGATAACAAAATGATGGATATGTACAAATGTCATTAAGCTATAGTAATATTTGCAGCTAAGAATAGCATTTCAGAAACACTTAGACTTAACCATCTGAAGAAAAACAGATAAAAACAAATAGCAAAAGAACCAGAGTTAAAAGTACAGAGTGATTTACAGGAACTATTGCCTATAAAGTGTAATAAAAAGGATATATGTAACTATTTGACAGAATATTATCATATAATTTTTATTTATCATCCTAAATTTTCACATCTTTCTTATTTTTTTCTAAATATAAAAATATCTAGCACCATGTAGAGCATATTGATGATTGGACTTCTCAATCTTCATCTCAATATTTGGTATCTTGAAGACAAACTTTCACTATATGTCTTTGAAAATTATAAGAATCACCAGGAACACATGCATACATGTATCACTTATACATCATTCTATTCCCAAGCTATAGAAAACACAAATAAGAGTAACTTTACCAAATATAGTCATGTGCCACCTAATAATGTTTTCGTCAATGACTGACCACATACATAACAGTGGTCCTTTAAGATTATAATACCATATTATTACTATAGCTTTTCTATGCTTAAACATAACATATTTAGTGATACACAAACACTTACCATTGTGTTACAATGATCTACGGTTTATAGTACAGTAACATGCTGTACAGGTTTATAGCCTGGGAGCAATAGGCTGTACAATAGCATAGGTGTGTAGCAGGCTATATCATCTAGGTTTGTGTACTTGCATTCTATGATGTTTGCATAACAACAAAATCATCAAATAACCCATTTCTCAGAATGGATCCCACTCATTACATGACTTTAGTGCTTTATTAATTTCACATGTAGCAACAAGTCCCATAGGACTTTAGGCTAGGTCCAATGTAATTTTTTTTTGTATTTGTTTGTTATTTATTTAAATATTTTGTTCTCTTATGGTCATAAAATTGCTTTTACAATTCTAGACATTGTGTTATACGGTTTGCCTCTGTGTACCCACCCAAATCTCACCTTGAATTGTAATCCCCGTGTTTAATAAAGTTTTTCCTTTATTAATGATCACATGAGCACCTGTGGATAGGCCATGGAAAACTAAAATTGAAGGCTTTCAATCAGTCAAAATGAATTCCCATATCTTTGAATAACACATTGCTCTACAGTAGTATGTATCGGAAGGTGGATTAAATCCAGCCCTATATTTATTTTTCTTCATCTTTCTATATTTGTAAATCTGTTATATGTACATATATACAAACGTATGTATATGTTCACTCCTTGCTCATCCATGGGCTCACATATTAAATACTTAGTTCTCATGAACTCAAGTGTTAAACTTCACGACAATGATCATTTATTTTGAAAAAAGTATTGTTAGTCATATAATGCTTAGTTAGCAATGCATATCTAACTTTGCTATTATCATTCTTGTTAGTAATAAAATAAAAAATCCATATACTATCAAAGAGTTATGTGTAAAATTCAAATCACAAATGGATGACACATTTGATTGAAAGACTGAAAGAATCAGTAAGGACAGAATAAAACTGATTTTTTTTGTCCTTCAATATGTACCTAGTAGAATGAGATGAAGAACGACAAAAAGCTGAACTCTTCTCCACACTCACATAATCCTGAACAAAGAGATGAACACTTGAGTCTTTTCAATGTCAGTCTACTGCCTTTGACAAGTACTATATTCACCGAACAATTTTAAAAAGAATAAGAAAAGAAGATAATGCAGGTTGAGGAAAAGATTGAGTGAGAAGATGATAGAAAAATACATTGCTATAGGTCTTTGATATTTTTTACTGTGATAAAATATTTTTATTAAATTAGTCAAATAACAATATTGTGATTGTTTCAATATTTTTAATGTAGAGTTCAAAGATTTTCCCCTTAAATTATTTTAAATTTATTTATAAATTTATATATCCTTACTTTTTTTCTCATGAAACAGATAAGATATTCCAGTTTTATAACCTGACAAAGTTTTTCAGTGGCTGAAACTAAGATCATCAACATATTCTACCATTTCATTTACTAAATATCCACTCTGAGGGTTTCACAAAGTTATTTTATTTTATTACCTGAAATATATAGAGTACTCAAGAATAAAGCGATTTAATGATGCTAGCTGGCAGAAAGTGTTTATATATTACATAGAAAAATGGTCAATTTCACAGTAAATATCAGTTAAATATAATTATAGTACTCAGTACAAACAAAATGTTATGTTTATAATAATGTTGGAAATATAATCAGTTTGAGGGTGCTGCAATAATGACGTCTGTGTGTGCATACATGAACATCTATTATGCTTTCCTATGTATTGCCTAATATTCATTGATACTGTCTATTTGTGTTAGGAGAAGTGATAATTGATCTCATGTACATGGCATAAAGAATATATTGTTTTGATATTTCAACTTACACTTTGGTTTTGCTCACAGTATATTATTATCTCTGCATTATGCGGTCTCAAAATTATGTTAACTCTCCAACATACTGAACCTGATAGATATAATTTCAGTAATTACAACGTAAATAGAAACCACAACTGTCTTTTGGATCATATTTAAATAAATCATGTTCCAAAGGATAATTTAGACAGAAAGACAAATGTCCAAAATTCTGAGTAAAATTTCATACGTAAGGCAAGAGTAGTCACAGTGTCTAATTACACAGCTTGAAAGGATGAACACTATAGTATACTAGACCTATGTACTTTGAAGAAAAGGGGACCAACTTTGGGAGGCCAAGGCGGGTGGATCACGAAGTCAGGAGATTGAGACCATCCTGGCCAACATAATGAAACCCCGTCTCTACTAAAAATAGAAAAACTAGCTGGGCATGATGGCACGTGCCTGTTATCCCAGCTGCTCAGGAGGCTGAGGCAGGAGAATCGCTTGAATCAGGGAGTTGGAGGTTCCAGTCAGCTGAGATCGCACCACTGCACTCCAGCCTGGTGACAGAGCAAGACTCCATCTTTAAAAAAAAGAAAGAAAGAAAAGAAAAGAAACCAGAGAATATTCAATTTCATCCTAAAAGACAATTGATACTCTATATTTTGAATGAGTATTTGTTCAGGATCTAATTATACAATATTGATATGACTTTTAAAACATATATTGTATTACTAGAAAAAGCTCTTCAAATTTCATAGCCAAAAAAAACCATGAAATCACCTCTCAATTTTCAACTAAAATACTATTTAAAAATTCTCAAAAGCAAAATATACCATTAATAATAAGAAGACAAATATTAAGACCTAGAAAATGCAAGACAAACTGCTAATTCCTCATGGTCTTTGACAAATTTTGGTAAATGGCAATTATATAAAGATTAAAGTTAACATGGAAACCATAAACGATGAAAATCATTTCAAAATCTGCAGATAGTGCATTCACATATTTTACCAACTGAAAGAAAGCAATTTTGTACACCTCATAAAAAGAAAAGAAGATAGTTATCTTTGCCTCCAAGCTCACTTACTGTAATAGAAATCTGTGATTTGAATTACTCATAATAAATTGTATATTTAGTCCTTCATAATTTTGATTCTTTTTTTTTTTGGTTGCACATCAGAATCACTATTTGAGCTTTTAAGAAAAGGACAGATATCAGGATTTTAACCCAGACCTACTGATACAGAATCTCTGAGTGTATAGTCCTAGCATCTTTATTTTGTTGAAAGAGAAATTGCAGGCTCATATAGGGTAAAAAATAGCTGCTCCGTTGAATAGGTGCTGAGTTTTTAGTTGGCCATTGATTTCTTTGCTTCTTATTTCTAAACCAACAGAAGACTTATCCTACAATAAATTAGTAAGAAAAAGAGAAATAGAACTGTCTTTGGCATTTGGCATATCATGTGGTAAATTCTCAAAATACCAGACATCTGGCAAAATTTAGTTATGAAGAACTTGAAAGAACTCGGTTGTCCACCCCCAGGAACAATGAGTGCTTGTCTGCATTTTCAGTGTACTCTATAATTAACAAGAATAATTTTTTATTCTGATGTAAATTTATAAAATTAATGAAATTGAAAAATTAATAAAACAATCATCTAAATAAACCCTGGGTCAGGAAGTAATTTAAAATGGAACAATCTGTTCATACTTTCAGGCCTTAATTATCCAAATCATTTGGAATGTATCCCAATTTCTCTTTGTGTTCCTAAATTGAATAATTCTTAATCCTGGTTGTATGATTGAACTACTTAGAGAGTTTTTTAAAAAATACCTGTGTCTGAGTCTGAAAGAAGGCAACTAAATCAGAATCTAAGGTTAGGGCTTACATACCTGATATGTTCGATATTTTTTCCCTGCCAGTTCATTTTACTATTCAGGTGAGTCTCAAATTTCCATCTTGAGAGATGGTCTAAAAACTTACTCCATGTTTAAATGGGAATTGGGAAGTTGGGAATAACAAGGAAGAAAAACCAAACATAAAACAGAAACATAAGGCCGGGCGCGGTGGCTCACGCCTGTAATCCCAGCACTTTGGGAGGCCGAGGCGGGCGGATCACGAGGTCAGGAGATCGAGACCATCCTGGCTAACACAGTGAAACCCCGTCTCTACTAAAAAACACACAAAAAAATTAGCCGGGCGTGGTGGCGGGCGCCTGTAGTCCCAGCTACGCGGGAGGCTGAGGCAGGAGAATGGCGTGAACCCGGGAGGCGGAGCTTGCAGTGAGCCGAGATCGCGCCACTGCACTCCAGCCTGGGCGACAGAGCGAGACTCCGTCTCAAAAAAAAAAAAAAAAAAAACAGAAACATAGTCTATTTTCTTGAAAATATTATACCCCTGTAATTATATGTCTTAATTAAGAGCTAAGTAATTCAATATGTAAATAATAATAATTTAATTCCAAAGGAACCCGGAGGAAAACTAGAAAGTATTAAATCAGATGAAGAGGAATTAGATAAATAAGAGCCAGACCATTGATTTTGAAAAGATAAAATACTTGCACCACCCTCTGGCAAGGATAATGATAAAGTGAACAAAAAAAAAAAAAGAAAGTGAAAGAAAATATGAACCTGAAATGTGAACAATTGTTTGAAAAATCTTCAGAAAAAGAAACTGAATCAAAGAAAATTGTCAATGTTAAAGTCAATGGTAAAGTCTTTGACTTTTGATGATTGTATGGGAGCTATGTTTGCCTTGTATCTTAGATATTTTACCCTTTTAATGTTCTCTGAATTGAACACAGGGTACATATGCAATTGTAATAGAAGTATATAAATGTATTTGTGTTTATATATATACATGTATATGTGTGCATTTATATATATTTAATTGTTAACAATGACTCTCTCCAGTGGGTGTTTTTTAGAATTGGCTACTCGTGTGTTTTATTTATTTTCTAAATTTAAAAATTACTATGTAATCCAACAGTTTAAACTATAGAAAATGTTATGGTCTTTCTATTAAAGGTGTGAAAATGCTAATAAAGAAACACGCTATGTAGAGAGAATTTGCAGAAAAGGTTATTGCTTTCTAGCATGATTTTCTTTCCTAGTCCAAAAGTCATATCATTGCAGCTGTCATGGAAGCTATTTGCAACTTCAGCAACACTGGTTTACATTGTGAAGTTTCAGACACTAATGGTAAAACATAGATTATACTTTTTTGTTACTCAGCATTGTAACTTTTTAAAACGTGATTTATTCCTGTGAATAAATCACAATGCAATAGTTGCATTGCTAATGTATTTAATTTACAGGTTGGGTGACTAGAAAAGTGTATTTCAAAGTGTTCAGGCTTGTTAGCCATAAAGTACAAGCTGGAGTATTCTTTTCAGCAGGTGAAGCAAGCAGATGTTGCAACTTTGATTTTACAAACAAGGAAATGTCTTTCTCTTATTATTTTCTTTTCTAGTAGCTTGCATTGTTACATTTTTCATGTGTATATATATATATATATATATAATGCATGAAAGCAAATATATATGTGAATATATTTATATACATAATAATTCACATATATATTTCCTTTCATGCATATTCATTTCATATACATATATGCATTAATTCAAAACTCCATTTGGGATATATTTCAGTTGAATGTATGACCATGAATAATTAGCAAGATTATTACAAACATTCTTTTTCTCACTGAGCAAACACTTTTGACACCAGGTCTTGGTTTCTGTATATCTTCTCTAGAAACCATCCGATTGCTCTTTCATTCACACTCAAAGAGTTGTTTGGTTGCCCTGTTAGTAGCTGGCTGGCTCACCAGATTATTAACCTGAATTTTTGCAGAATTCAATCATATCCGACTTGAGAGGAAAGTAGTGTCACAAAGAGAGATATAGTCGGTGGTATTACACTTGACCGCCAATAATGAAGAATCCTCAAAACCTCTTCTTGGACAATTTGCTCATATTAGGACTACAGAATAGGCTATAAACATGGCCACGCCTTGAGTGTCATACAAGGTGGTCATATTCAAACACTTTCCAAAGTAAGTAGAAGTGCTTTGTGGATGTGATTGCAATAGCATATAATTACTAAATATGTAGATTAATCGCAACTTGTCTAAATATTTGCCTTATTTTCAATTTTCACTCAAATTGACACGCTGTATAAACAAAAGTATTCTTGTATATTGATATTTGTCCTTGTTACTTAGAGAAGACTACAAGCAGCAGGACCGTTCCATTAAAGCTTTGATTCTATGAATCTTTTGTAAAATATTTTGTCAAATTGCTTTTACAAAATGTTTAATTTTATATGCGTATATACTGTGGATGCAAGCAGTAATTTATTCCACCCTTGACAGATAAGCTATGACATTAAGCTATGACATTTGATTAGTAAAAATAGCATTTCATTCCCTTTTGTTTTATCTTTCATTGACTCATTACTGAGTACCCACTATATGCCAGGTACTATTCTAAACTCTGTGGATTCAACACACACAAAATAAAAGTACAAACCTACCCTCATGTTGTTTATATTACATTCCAGTCAGGGACACGGGAAATTAAATAAAATAAATATAACATAAGCCCAATAATGTGATGGTTTATTTTATGTGTCAGCTTAACTAGGACTTTCTCCCAGTTGTTTGATCAAACACTACTCTAGATGTTGTTGCAAAAACACGTGGTAAGTAGCGCTAACATTTAGCATTAGTGAACTAAGTGCATCAGGGCTGTAATATAGAAATTCTGAATCCTATAGAGTTTTCAGTCACCAGGTCTTCCCTATAGATTTCAGATTTGCTATCCCCTATAACTGTATGAGCCAATGCCTTATAATCGATTTTTTTCTCGTGTGTGTGTGTGTGTGTGTGTGTGAGCGTGTGCGTGTGCATGGGTTCCACTGGTTCTGCTTCTCTGGAGAACCCTGACTGACACAAGTGATCATAGGTACCAAGTAGAGAAGGAAAACAAAGCAAAGAATATGATATTGGAGATGGCAAGTTTTGAGTGAGTTTGGTGTAAAGGAATTTGAATGTTTACGTAGTGAACAGAAACAATATAATTGAGGAGGTAACATTTGAGGAAAAACCTTAAGAAGCAAGGCAGGGTTAAAACTTCTCTATATACTAACCCCAAATTTTTGTCTATCTTTTTCATTATAGCCGTCTTAGGGGGTATAAAGTAATATCTCATTGTGGTTTTGATTTATATTTTCCTAACAACTAATAATGTTTCACATCTTTTCATACTTTTTTGAATATTTTATATTGTCTCTGGATAAATGTCTATTTAAATACTTTGCCCACTTTAAAATTCAGTTGTCTTTGTTGTTGAGTTGAAGGATTTATTTATATATTCCTCCTAAATTGCTTTTTTGGAAAGCAGTCTAGGAGTTCCTCAAAGATAAAACACAGAGTTATCATATGACCTCAAAATTTCACTTCCAAGTATATAGCCAAGATAATTAAAAACAGATTTTGACACAAAATCCTATACATTAATATTCATAGCTGCCTTATCTGTAATAGCCAAAAAGCAGAAACATTAATGCCTGATAATGAGTGAATGAGTAAACAAAAAGTAGTATTATATATTTTCATCATGGAATATCATACATTGTATCATTCCATTTATGTAAACTGTGCTTAATATGCAAAACCATACACATAGGAAGATTGGCAGTTGTCAGCAGCTGGGACAGGTATGCGGGAGGAACGGCAAGTGAGTGAAAATTGGTATGGGGATTTTTTTTGGGGGGGTGATAAAAGTATTTTGGAATTAGTGGTGAAACTTTTAAAATATACTAAAACTTACTGATTGAATAGTATAGTATATTAATGTTTCCAAATAAAAAATGATAAATAAACAGTTGTGAGTGAACTTTCTAGTTTCCTTTAGATTTGGCATTTCAGGCAAAGGGAAGAGCAGGTGCAACTGTCGTGAATGTGAGTATGGCTGGCCTATGAAGGAGAGTAGAGGAAACTGGATGTACAAGGTAGAGAGTATCAGAGATGAGGCTGCAGACAAAATCCTGGAAGGCCAGCCATGGAGGGATTTGTAGGACATTAGAAGGGTTATTGTTTTAATTTCTTAGTGAGACTGGCATCCACTGAAATGTTTTAATATGGGAACTTATTTTATCTAACTTATGTATTAAAAGGATCTCTTTGGCTGGTGATTTTAGAATGAACTGTAGAGAGGGAAGAGCAGGAGGAGAGATACCTGTTACAATATTATCACAAAAATATGCAGAGGAGAGACTGTTGCCACAGAGCTGGTGAGAGGGAGAAATATTTTGAAGGCAGGGATTTTAAGATTATTAACAAATCAAATGCCTTAAGCAACCAAAAGGAGAGAGTTGCCATTAGCAGACATGATGAATATATAGTAGGGAACAGTTTGGCAGGGGGAGATTAATTATTTTAGATATACTTTAACTTCAAAACACTTGGATACCCAAGAAGAGATACAAGAATCTAGGCTACAGATAGATGTAAATGTATACACTATCATACATCATTAGTGTAAAAGTGATGCATAAAGCTCTGGAACAGCATAGATTAACCCAAGAGGTTTATTTGGATAGAAAAGAGAAGGCCAGCGACTGTGCTACTGGATATACAATGATTAAAGTTCAAGGATCTTAGATTAATGAACAAGGGAGATAAAGAGAAAGAGCAGCCAAATAGTAGAAAATTCAGGTGACTGTAAAGCTAAGGGACAAAAGTATTTCAAGGAGAACAGTAACTAACTCTATCAAATGCTGCCAATGCATAAAGTAACATAATGACTAGAAATAGGTCAGAATTTCAACTGGATTATAGCTATAGGATTTTGATATAAAAATGAAGCAGATTCAAGAGAAAAACAGAAGGAAGAAATGAAAGATGGTATATAGAGAACTTATAAAAAGATTTTTGCTATAACAGGAAAGAAAGTAGGGTGGCAGCTAGAAGAAATATAAGCTCAAGAAAGGCTTTTACTTTGTTCCATTTCTAAGTTGGGAGAAACAGCACCATGTTTCAAGTTGAAGGAGATATAAAAATTAATTTTGCAGCAGAAAGAATGGTACAGTATATCCTTTCTATATACTATATAGGATATATAGAAAAAGAATATGGTGAAACAATATTCCTAAAAATGTAAGAGTCGATGGAATATAGGAATATACTTCATCATGGGAGCTATGAATCCCAGATATTAGTCTATGAATAAAGAGGAGTGAGTAGAGTATATAATAATGATGAAGGACGAAGCAGTGGAAGCTTGTGGAAATTGTCTTTAAGTTGCTATAATTTTTTCTTTATTTAGTATGAATTAGAATTATCATCTGAGAGTAATGTTGAACCAGAGATATAGCCAGATTAAAGAGAAGACCATGTATAAAAGAGTTGTAGAAAGAATGTAGAAACCATGTAGAAAGAATGAATGGTTTTGAACATATAGTTTAGTTTGGCAGTAGCATTAAGGTCTGTTTTGGTTCAGTAATTATATGTCCATACATACATACATATATTATACCTACATGCATACATATATATACATACATACAAATATAATATGGTTTGCCTGCATTGCCACCCAAATCTCATACTGAATTTTAGTTCCCACAATCCCCATGTGTCCTGGGAGGGACCCAATGGGAAGTAATTGAATAACGGAGGCGGTTATCCCTATGCTGTTTTTGTCATGATCGTGAGTTCTCACGAGATCTGATGGTTTTATAAGTGGCTTTCTCCATTTTGCTTGGCACTTCTCCTTGCTGCTGCCATGTGAAGAAGGACGTGTTTTCTTCCCCTTTTGCCATGATTGTAAGTTTCCTGAGGCCTCCCCAGTTATGCTGAACTGTTAGTCAATTAAACTTCTTTTCTTTATAAATTATCCAATCTTGGGTATGTCTTTATTAGCAGCATGAGAACAAACTAATACTGTGTGTGTGTGTGTGTGTGTGTGTGTGTGTGTGTGTGTGTGTATAACATAGTCAGCATGATTGTACTTTTTCCAGTTACATTCAGTAACACAATATAGGCCTGCAGTAGGCAGAAAGTTTCAGTTCTTCATATAATTAAAATGAAGTGGAGGAAAGGAAAGGGAATGAGTATGTATGGAGATAAGTGAATATGATGATTCACCTTGGGAATTATGATGAATAAGAGGAAAGTAAGGAAGCAAGAGGTTCGAGAGATGGTGTAGCATCAATGGAGCACTGGTACAATTGAAGTTAAAGAGGGGAGCATTGGTACAGCTGGAGTTAAATAGTGTTAGAAGTGGAACATTAGAGAGAATGAGTTGGAAAGATAAGAACTTTCGGCCGGAGAATGAGATATTTAAAACTGAGATTACAGAAGTGTTTCAGTTAATGGTAATGACATTCGTTAAGTGGCTACTGGTGATGGAAGACAACATCATTGCATGAGAGTAGATCAGGGAAACATGAGTAAGAGTAACAAAGTAATGAACATCTTTCTGCATGTTGTCATCATCCATATTATGGCAGGAGTTATTAGGCATTGAGGAGGCCATAGAAGAACTGATGATGGCATCAAACAGGGATTAGCACATAGCTAATTTGATAACATGAGATTTTTTAAAAGAGAAAGGAGAATAACCTAGAAACAGCAGTGAGGAGCAAGAGCCCTTGCTCCACCTCCACAAAGTGTAGATCAGGGTGCATTAGAAAAAAAAGAAAGTGTCATTCCTTGAGAGAGCTGCAAGAAAACTAATATCATCAGAAATTTGCTTTATTTCATATAGCAGGAATGTAAAGAGAAATTTCACAGAAGATTTGAGGATTCTTTTTTGTTTTTCTCTCTTTTTATTTTTTTTAAATTTTTAGAATTGCCTGCTCATGACATTACCAACTATCCTATTTGAGTATTAAGAGTTTCCCTCTTATTTCATACAAGCTGCTTATATATCAACTCCTCAACTGTGCCTAGGTTGCTAGTAAGTTTCTAGTTTTCACTTGAATTTTTTATATTTTATTTATGATATATTTAAAACTATAAAATAACACCTATTTGTATATATTCAAATGCATCAAAATTCTGCTGTTTATTTCATAGATTTTTCTCACTTCAAAGCCTATGTCTATTGTATACCAATATGCATACCAATAAATCTTACTCCAGGTTTGTGGATATAAATTTTTATAAAACAGTCACTTCTAATTTTGGAATCTGTGGAGTGTAAGAGAACAAGAAGTCAAGGATCAAAATTGATTTTTGTTATGTACTTTATAAATGTCCCCAAATCATGGTTAAATAACTTACTTCTTCTTTAGACTGTGATGTTTATTCATAGCAGCACAGCAGTATCATTTTTGGAATATTTATTCTGCTTGATCGATCTGACTGTGCATTCTTCTATCAGTACTACACTGTTCAAGTGTTGTGTCAGAGATGAAAATTTATGAACATAGAAAATAATTTCAGATATTATGTTAATAGAAAGGATTCAAAACAATATATTTATGTTCATATTTTTTCTATAAAAATATACACATTCTTATATAGAATAAATATCTGAAAATATACACAGAAAGAGATAACAGTGATTATCATTTGATGTTAGAATTAGAGATGTGTTTTGATTTTTGTTAAATAATATTTTCTCATTCTACTCTAAAACACATATTATAAGATAAGAAAATATATTTATTTTTAAAGTACTGCAAACAGGCAGTTTATAGTAGCAACCACTTGAAGAGGCTTGGAAAAAGAGAAAGAGAGGGAGAGAAATGAACCTCTTTCCAGTTTCTTTGTGCCCCATGCAACTCTTCTTCAGTTTATGAAACCGGACACATTTGACCTTGAAAAATTTCATTTTATTAGGCATTGTCCAGTGTCTCCTGTTTCCCATAAACATAATTTGGGTAGCTAAATCCTATTTGTTATTCAGATCTCAGCTTACATGTTTTAAATTAATGAAAGCTTTCTGTTTCAAACCCACTCCAAATTTGCATACAGTGGACTTTTCCTTGTTACATTTGGGCAAAATTGTCCTCACTTGACCAATTTCAATCCTTTCTAAGTGACTGTCAGTTTTACCAGTCAAGGTACTATATTTGTCTAGACTCTTGGATACTTAATACTAATACAGAAGCACATCACAGTCAATCAATATATGGCATGTTGAATGGATGAATGAAAAGGAGGGAGGCTGTATAGACCCAGGTTTATAGTCCCTCTTTCTCACTAGGTACAAAAACCTAGCCAAGCCGTTTATCTTCTTTTGGCCTTAATTTCCTCATTGGAATAAAAACAATAAAGAAAGTAATTTATTAATTTCTAAGGCTAACGATTAAAGACATAAAGACATTTAAATGCTTTATATATATTAAGCAATGAATGATCATGCTATCATCATTTAGAAAAATTTTCAGAAATACATTGTTTAAAAAGAAAAATGGAAAACCACTGCCATAGAGGGTACAACAGAAAATTGAGAAGACATTTCTGAAAGAATGGCCAACCAAGAAGGCACTGGGAAGGGCTGCATGGGGAGTGTCAGTGTATAAAACATCACATTAAATTGTGAACTACTCACTTAACAAAGCGGTTTGATTTTCTGCCACAGTGTTTAGCAGCATGAAAGGGAAAGTAAATACATTTTAAATGGGAGTTGATAAATAATGGGCAGTTAGGAAAGCACAAGCTACTGCAGCTTATCGTTCAAGGGGGCCTTTGGTAGAAATCTAGTATAGTTTATTTGGAGAGAAAAGTAAAGGCATCAAAGACTTGAGACAAACCACTAAAAGAGAAAGGCTCAAGTTATATAAGTTAAAGGACAAGATTCTAATGAATTATAAGCCAGACTATTGCATAGGTTATCATTAAGATTTTATTTGAAAAAAAAATAGTAGACTACGAGGCAAAAAAGTCATGTTGTTAATAGAATTACTGTTATTTGCAAACTTTAAACTTTCAAAGGTACTATGCATTACATATCATTTTCATAAATGTATCTCAGTTAGCCAATGACATCTGTCACCATGTGTCTTCCCTCCACCTTAATTCCTCAATTTAATAAGTTAATACAAGGAAGTTTCTAAAACACAAGCCTAGATTATGGCCATCATGTAGATTATGTTTAAAATATAAAACAAAAGTTAAAGCAGATACAGGATAATTTAAGTTTTATTCGTAACCTTCAATTGCAACTTTCCATTATTTCATTTTTTACGTAATATCTGACCAAACCACATTTTACATAAATAAAATAATATTTTAACTGAGATACAAGTCTTGAAAATAAGAAAATCCTTTTCACATTACTTTTATAAGGTGTCACGTATCAGTTTAACTTTTTTTAATAGTATCTCAAAATTAGAACATCAGCAGTTGAGATACATTCACCAAATATTTTTATTTTTGCGTGATTTTTATGATCACTTGTTACTTCAATTGTAGGCATCCTGAAGATTAACTTTTTAACTTTTGTGAGATTATCAGATATAATCTATATTCGAGTAATTTACTTTATATTGCTTTTAATGTATATTTTTATGATGATACAATACAATCAATTTTGTCTTATCTTCAACTGCAAATATACACATTAAATACATTTAGCTGAAATTCACATTGTAAAACACTTCTTCTAGCTTAAACGAAGCAGATGTTAAGCTCTTGACATAATGTGCTTCTGCCTACTTTGTGTTTGATCTCTAGAAGGTTTGATCTCCTTTTGAAAGTTATAATGAATAGTATTTAAAAAACATTAAAATAATAAAACTATATCTATTACATCCTATAAAATGAAAGTTATTATCAATGTTTTGTCTGGTAAAGATGATATTATAAAATCTAAACGTGTAATTGTTAAGCTTTTGATAAAAACATGAATAGTACCAGTTATACTTAACAGAGTCGTAAGTGTTAAGGAGGGGGAACATCTCAAGTGTGCAAGGCCTTCAGTTTTTGCATATTCTCTCTAATCTTTCAAATGTAAAAATATGTTAAAGTTATACTTTAGTGGTACTTCTTTTTAATTATAAAAAGAAAACATAATCATGGGATTATACAATGTCAGTGACAAAATGGGCCTCAGAGACTATCTAATTCAGTTTTGTGTTTTAACAGAAAAGAAACAAACAGATTTGAGGAACTTTAATGACTTTCAAATCTTGGGTTTCTCTCTTGCCCTATTATTTTTTAATTTTCGTAACTCTTTCTTCCTGCTCTTCTTTTCTTCCCACTACACTACGTCCTGCCCTCCAGTCCTATGTTCTTTACTTTTTCAAATATTTTGAAACACCATATTTTTTGTTGGGCGCTGTTGTGATAAATAAAGAGGAGTAAGACATAGTAAAATACTTCTGCAAAATATTTGGCAATATTTGTCAAAATCATAAATGCAAATCACTCATAAATATCATTTCTAATGATGTGTTTTACAAATATAATCACAAAATAACTATATAACAAAATTATTGGCATTTGTTGTTGTTTAACAAAACACTGGTATGATGTATGAAAAATGACTACAGATTCTATAACACTCCTGCTATTGAGAATCAAGAACTTCTCTACTTCTGCTTGAATCTGACCTGGTCTGTGACTGCTCTGGTTACAGGTTATCAAAGAAATGATGCTTTGCCTGTCTGAGGCATTGCCTCTAACAAGGTTGGAAGCATCCACCTAGGTATTATGACCTCTGAGTTGTTTGTAGGAAGGTCAACTACCATGCTGTACGTACTATATGGAAAAGCCTCTATCTCATTTGGAAAAGGCCAATTAAGCGCAGGCCTCTGGCTATGTCCATCAGGGCCCCAGACCTGTGAGATCGTCCGTTCTCTATAATCCAGCCTGGCCCGAACATCATCTAAATATTAATGAGTTACTCCAGTTGATACAATATGAATCAGAAAAATCAACCAGCTGAGTCCTGTGCATATTCCTTTTCCACAAAATACTTAGAGAGAATAAAATGGTAATTGCTTTAAGAAATAAGTCTTAGCTAGTTTGTTACGCAGCAATATATAACTGGAAAAACTGGATACAATGTGTTTACAATGAAAAAATAAGCAACTATAAATAGTAAAAGTTAGCTCTTATTACCCAATATGGGATGATCTGTGAGATAAGTGCAAAGTAAGCTGCAAAATATTATCTATGTTATGTTTCTGCTTAAGATATTATATATTATCTAGCTATATGTTACAGCTGTATAATTAAAGCAATAGAATATCTTCAAAGATGCCCATAAAACTAACAACAGAGCTCAACTTTGGGAGGAAAAATAATAAACTCTAGATGTCTAGGTTAAAAAAAGACATGCATATGTAGTGCAGAACCTGTAGCATTAAACCTTTTGTTATGGTGCATTGCCTTTTTAGTAGAAATCAATGGGAAGTAAAACAAAACAACAAAACAAAGCTAATCCCAGTATACTCCTGACTTTCCTTAGTCTTACACTGCTTAATGCCTAGTATTACATAAATGTACGAATTTTAGCATGTATTCTTGTCTTTAGGGTGTCTTTTAGAATATTAAAATGATCAATAAGTTAATATTCAGTAACTTAGCAAAATGTTTTATAAGATTCAATTGGAATCTGAGGTTAAATTCTTTGCTGAGCAGATCTGGTCTTAAAAGAAATGTACAAATTGAGAACATTAGGTTTGCATTTCTAATCTTCCTCCGTACCCCATACAGCATGTATAATGAAAGACGATTACACAGTAACTGCTAACACAGCTGGGAGGTGTTCTCTGAATAAGATTTTGTTCTCTCTTCATTTCAAAACAGCTTTTATTTCCATGACATCTTGCATACAGCAGATGGTCTCAAAAGTTAAATTTGACCATGAATACTACATTAGCTGTCATGTACTTGGAAAGGAAGATTATAAACAAGAAAAACTTCCTTTTAAAATGTTTCATTCATTTTGCCTTTTATATCATATGTGTATGTTTTCATTTTGTAAAGAAAGTATTTAGCAAATATGGTTTATTTCTCTTTTGTAACTTGATATTGCTTCATTTTATATCTGACCATTCAAATTCAAACAAGTAAGCATCTCAAGAGTCGTTAATATGCAACAGGGCATTACAATCATATCGACAGCAGAGGAAAAGAAAAGAATAAGGTTTTCTTATTGTTTTCCAGCCACAGGATCAATATAAGCAGATGTTCTATTTTTGAGTTGCAAAGAAAATTAGCGCTTTTGTGGAATGTATACACAGAATTGAAATATCCTTGTCATAAAAAAATAGATCTTATCATGGCAGTGATGAGTGAGAAGACAAACATTTTGAAATGGGACTGTCACCTAAAACTATCTAATACTCATAATTTTTTTGCATTAAGAAGTCCACATTATTTGTACAAGCAATTCCAATAGCATCAAGAGATAATATTCTGGCTTTCACTGATTTGCTTTGTTTTCTGGGTGCAAGAAAAAATTATATAGGGAGAAAATCATTATCATAGAGACAAAGTGTGACACAAGTAAGATTCAGAAAATTTCAAAACAAAATGAATAGAGGAAACTTCAGAAAATCATATAATGAATCTAATAATCTGAACTAATTTTGCCTAGACAATTAAGATACAACTGAGCAGGTTTCTTTGTCACTGTCTTTATTTTACCCATTGCTCCTTCCTTAGCTTGATCCTGTCAGTACTGGGAAGGAGTGCAATATAGGAGTAAAAACACGTAACTCAAAGCGAGAACCCTGGCTGCTGAGCCCTACAACTTCTTATCTGACTGTCCTTTAGCAAGTTGTTTAGCCTCTATCTGCCAAAGCTCTGCATATTTTAAACTGGAAAAATAATCACATCTTTATTATATTGTGAAATAACATAAAGTAGGGACCAGACTTGAAGAATACCTGAGCAGACAAAGCCAATTAGGCCTCATAAGTGACCTTAACCATATTTGACTTGCAAACATAAGCAAAACTTAACTTGGGCCATTTTTGTAAATGACAACATTAAAGAAAAACAGAATTTAAGCTTAACCAATCAGACGCTACTAACTTTACATAGTTGTATAACCAGGAACTTTTCCAGCAAAATAGATAAAGTAAGGCAACTGTATAAATGTAATAATTCAAAAATTTGCTTTGTTTTGCTTCGGCATTCACCCTGTAAAAGTCTGTTCCTTCTACTTCTTCATGAACTAAAGGAACACATGGAGCTAGAGAACCAAAAATAAACTGTGAAAAAAAAATATCATGCCTCAGCTTATCTTTTAACAATAGAAAGCATGCAAGAGTTACTTGAGACTATACAACTGAAAGCACTCTAACAATGTTAACCATTATTCATATTTAGTAGTAAGAGAGAAATTAAGAGATTCACTGCTGCATTTCTTTTTTTTTTTCTTTTTTCTTTTTTTGAGACAGTGTTTCACTCTTTTTGCCCAGGCTGGAATGCAATGGCGCGATCTCGGCTCACTGCAACCTCCGCCTCCCAGGTTCAAGCGATTCTCCTGCCTCAGCCTTCCAAGTAGCTGGGACTACAGGCACCTGCCACCATGCCCAGCTAATTTTTTTTTTTTGTATTTTTAGTAGAGACGGGGTTTCACCATGTTGGCCAGGGTGGTCTCGATCTCTCGACCTCGTAATCCACCCACCTCGGCCTCCCAGAGTGCTGGGATTACAGGCGTGAGCCACCGTGCCTGGCCCATTTCTTTATTTGTCTCATCTAATTGTATGCAGGGTTACTAAAATAATACTTTCAACACAAAAGAGCCAATGTAATACTAAACTCATCAGAGAGAAAAAAAAAAAGTCAACCTTCCAGGTAACACCTCTACATAGTGCAAATTCCCACGTAACCATCTAGTTTGCTTAACATTGAATTGGTTAATTTCTAAAATGTACTATTTCTAATAAGCAGCTGTATACTGGCAATCATTTTATCCTCATATCTTTGTTATGAAATCCCATTAATTTATTTATCAAATCAAAATCTCTATACTGAATATTGACAACATTCCAAAAATGATGCAGTGCTCTTTGGATGTAAAAAGCATAGGTGGCCTTCTCTTGATGGAATTCAATGTCTATCAGAGGAAAGAGATCATAAAACTAAATATTATAAAATGTGATAAGTGCTATTCTTGTCTTGTGACCACAGTAATCTCAAGTACAGAACAGGAAACATTTGAATCTACAATGGAGGGCAAAGGAATAGTACAATGTGGACAAGTTGTTACAGAGGCCAAGGCATTCAGAACTAAGGGAAAAAGCAGACGATAAAATTACATGAAGAAGAGTATTATATGAAGAAGAGTATTACAAAAGGTTACCACACGCAGGAGCTAATAGGTTATATGGTTAATATGAACACTTTTTGAATTAATAGTTTTTTATTAATTATAGTATGAATAAAATAAGTGATATTACAATCAAATATTACCTATATTCTAATTATTTTAACTAAGTGAGTTACTGGTAAAATTGTGTTTTCTATATGATGAAAACCTGGTGCAAAAATACATTAAATTTATACTGTAAAATACAATACAAAAGGAAAGAGCATCTAATGAATAAAATTACTCCTTTAGGTCTCAGGAAGTTCCTGAACTATGAATGCCCTAAGGATTAAGCAAGTAATAGGAGTGAATGTTAAGAAGTTACCTTTCTTCTGGAATTTATGTTGTCATGATGAATCCTAATCACCTCCTCTTCTGTCACCTCTTAACATGGAGGCATATCTAGTTTTACTTTAATATTCATTTTTAAGATAATAGATGGAGTAAAATATTACTTGTGTTCATGAAAATGATACACTAGAAAAGAGCTAAGGCAAAATCATATCTGCTACATAATTTCTTTAAAAGCTTTAAATCATGTAGCATAGTTCAGTTCTGTAGCTTTGACCATTTGCAGGGTCAAGATCCAGGTTAAGGCTGCCTCTGAGATGAAATCAGGGATGAGTTTCTCCAGTGTGCATATTTCCTTTTTGCATCATTGAGTGAACTTGAGTGAAAGGTATATTGGAATTATTTATGCTATTTTTACAATATTTTGTAAATCTATAATTACTTCAAAATAAAATGTTTAAAACTCTAACAAAGAGAATAGTAACATTCATTCAAACACTTCTATTTATGTGCAATTCCAAAATTGACAGTCATTTTCTGAATATTTCCAATAAGCATATCATTCGAACAGAGACCCAGGAACTAGGTAAGCAAAATAATGACAGCAATAAAAATAAACTATCCAAGAGTTTACTCTTTTATTTATTTGTTACATAATGCAATGTTTTCTTCTTTGTAACATTGTTAACAAATCTGTTAAATTCAGGAATATTAGTCATTAAAAACTAAGTTCCATAATAAAAAGTGAAAGAAAACTCTAAATTCACTATTATAGCATAAAAGCTAAGTAAAACATAAGTCTTTTGCTATAAAAATATTTATATACAAGTATATAAAATATTTAAACCTATATCTATTGAGCAAATATTACAAATTAAAGATATAAAATTCCCCAACTCATGTAGAGTTAGCATTAAAATAATAATACATAATATACATGCATTATGATATATCATATGATAATCATAAAGTATTTCAGAAATTAGAAAATTACTTTGGATGCTAACCAAAATAGAAACTGAAATTTCTCCCTGTAGGTATCAAAGCTTATGTTATATAAAAAATTTTCTCAATAATAATAATATACAACATAAAGGTCAACAGAATTTGTGCCTCCCAACTGTTGGATTTGCTCAGGTGAAATAATTAGCTAGAGCAACATTGAATATTTGATAGAAATTTTATTTTTTCTTTCAGCTATTCATATATCGGACCATTAAATGACATCAATTGTTAGAAAGAACATCTGAATTTGGCCAGTTCCCATTTATTTATATTCTGATACCCATCACAGAGAGATGTACATAACAAATTTAAATAGATAATTTTCAAATCCATGGGGGTATTTCAAACACAAGAGCTCTTGGGAAATTCACACACCCCTAATAATAGGGAAAAAATTGCTAGATTTGATTATAATGAACCCCTATGGTTAATATAATGGGCATTTAAATTGGTATTTTAAAAGCTTAGGCACTAATTAATGTGATTAATTTCAATAAAGACCACGAAATCAAGAAACTAACTTTGTATGATGATGTTTAGAAGGTTAATTCTAGCTTTCTCTTGTGCTCTGTTAGAGAAAACTATTGAAACTATGCCCTATCTCAAGAGTTAATTAGTATTAATAAATATAACCTACATAGCCACACACTTGATGGATATTTTATACTTTTCATTATCTAATCATATATTGTTTCTGATCAAACTTAGACATTTCTTTTCCGTGTTCTCAAATAGCAAATTGATTCTTTTTTAAAAATCTCAGAAAACATATCTCGTCATTATTGCATTCTTCTGTTTCATATATTCAGAGAAGAACAGCAATCATTAAGGCTTAGCTTGATTTGGTTTTCTGTCATAAGTGTCAAGGATAAAGAATACTTTACAGCACAGCTATAAAGTGTGTCAATATGTCAATACGATTAAAGTACCAGTTGCTTTTTGCTATAAATAGTGCTCTGTAGCAGATCAGGAGTTCTGCAAATGACATTTACTCTACTAAAGTAATAAAAAGAATAATCATGTAGCAGAAATTTACATCTCATAAGAAAAAAATGGTAAATTCTAAATTAAGTTACTGTTGAAACTTTCTATTTTATTTTTTCCATTAAAAAAGCATTTGATATAACAGGTTGCTGTCTATTAGTATTCAAAAATGTGCTCCTGAGCTTACTTAGCTGCCTCAGCATTTTAGTACTAAAGTTAAAAATAAGAAGTAATAAAAGCCTAATGAGATTGTTCAGTAGGTGCAGCTGGTCACCATTATGGAACCAGAGCATAAGCGGCATTGTTCATATGGTATTTCTGGCAATGGACATTTTTCTTGTCCTGACCACCGAATATCGGATAACATGCTGATCCTGTAAGTCCATCAGGTTTCATATTACAGATATCACTGGTAGCAATAGTTCCATATTATTAGCAAGGTCTTAAATAGATTGAAACTTAGTTTATCTAGAAAAGAAAAATGAAAAAAAAACAACAACACAGGCCACAGGGGCTTTGGAATCTTTGAATACTTGTTAAGTTTTATTTCTGCAATGAAGAAAAGTGCACCTACAATGCTGGTTCCACCTGTGCTGAGACAAGAATTACATTTAATTGAAAATCATTTTCTCTGAAATTATTTCTAACCTTATGTCAACAATTTTATATACTCTACTTGCTGGAGGGTATATCTTAGTTGCCTGATTAGATTACATTACCTAGATACCTGTTGGAGGTCACTGAACACTTAAACCTCTTATGTTTAGATTATTTTGCAGAATAATAGACTATAAATAAATATAGCTATTTTTGTGCCATATACGCAAACTAGCCAACTGAGCATACATTTTCTGCATACAAATTCCAAGAAAAAAAAAAGCTAGGTAAGTCAAGATTTATTCAAAAATATTTATATAGCATTTCTGTTTAAAAATGACATTTTGAGGGAAAATGAATGAAATATTACAGAATAATGAACTAAACATTCTTTAAGAACACTAATAAACATCTTGAAGACAGATAATACATAATAAATAGATGATATTTACATAAATATAATAGATATAACACCACTTACAAAGCCAATATTAGGATTTTACTTCCAGAAAAATAGAGGAAAAATAGCTTTCAATATTTCTCTCATTAAATGCAACTCAAAACCTTACACATCATATATAAAACTAACCTAAGACAATTCTGAAAGGGGGAGATAATAAGACATACTGACTATAGACCTTACCATCCATGGAAAGGTATCTGGTAAGTTTCTTAGGTTTTGTTTTTGCCTCCTAAATGTCCGACGTGGTACTAAAGAAGCCAGCAACCCAGAAGTGCCAATAGGAGTAGATTTTAAAAGCCCTTCAAAATTTCTGCTGCCTTTAGCCTAAGAATCAGGAAAGGAGCAGCCTAGCAATATAAAAACCTTTTAGACAACTGCTAGACTACAGAAAAAAGGGCACAGAAAATAGATTCCCACCCCAATCTCTACCACCAAAGCTTGAGTGGAGAGGCTAGATTTCACCCTTGCAAGGTTATAGAGCAGCTCTCCAATCCACTCTCACCCTTGCCTAGATGGTGTCAGAAAGAGCCATGTAGGGAGCTTGGACTTTCATCCTCTGTCAGGGAGGTGGGTGAGGGGGTCAGGGTGGAATGTGATAAACATCACTCTCCCCTTGAGTTTTAGAGAAAACCATGTAAGTTGCTCAAACTTCAACTAAACCCCACTCCTCCCTGCGAAGTTATAAACTGCCACTCTCCCTCTCTGATAAAGTGATGTCAAGTAATACCTAGTAGAGAGTCAGGGCTTTCACACCACCTAGTCTCAAGGCCACCAGTCCCAGGTGTCTGTGGAGGCTACACAGGGAGCAGCAATGATGTACTCTTTCTCCTCCAGCCAAGGAAGAATCAGTGGATGCCTAAAGGAGAACGAAACATTTTATCTCCACCCAACAGTAATGAAAAGTCCCCATCTTTGGTGGCCAACAGAGGCTTAATGGGGAAAATGGAGTTTCACTTCCATCTACCAATAACCAGGCAGCATTTCTTTTTTTCCCTGTCAGAGTGGTGTTAGGGGAAGCCAGATAAACAGAAAGTTTAAATAATATCCAGAGTCTCATAACATAATACCCTAAATATGTAGTTTAGCATACAAATTACACAGCATACCAAGAAGCAGAAAGATGTCCAGCTGAATTAAAAAAGGCATCCAGTGGATGCCAACACTAAAATAACACAGACGTTAAAACATGACAAACATTTTAAAGCAGGCATCTTAAAATATTTCAATGAGTAATTATAAGTATACTTGAAATTAAGAAAAGTAGAAAGTCTCAGCAAAAGTATAAAAGATACAAGAAATAAGTAATTTTTTAAAAAAATCAACAAAATGACCAAAACTTTCAAAAATTCAACAAATGGAATCAATAGAAGAATGGAGAGACAGAGGAAAGAATCAGGTAAGGAAAAAATAGATTAAAACAAATAACCCTACCTGAATAACAAAGAGATAACATGGTTTTAAAAAATTAACATATCCCCAGGAAACTGTGAGAATGTCTTTTTTTAAAAAAAATCTGACCTCTGTGTCACTAACATTTCATATGAGAGGAGAAAAAATGGGAGAAGGAAAAATACTTGAAGAAATAATGGCTAAGCCCTTCTAAAATTTGGCAAAAGATATAAACCTAGACAATGAAGAAACTGTGCAAACCCTAAACAGGGTAAACACATCAGGAGTTACAAACACCAAGATGCATCATAGTCAAACATCTGCAAACTACAGAGAAATATAACATTCTTAAAGCAGTGAGGAAAAAATAAAACCTCACCACTAAGGGAAAAACAATTCAAACAAAAGTGAACTGCTCGTTGGAAATCATGAAGGGTAGAGAACATGATAAACTATTTTTCAAGTTCTAAAAGAAGACAACTGGCACCCCAGAGTCCTATGTTTATATAAAATACTCTTTAAGAGTTAAAAGGGCAATCCAAATATTTTCAGATAAATGAAAACTATGAGAGTTGGTGCCAGCAGGCTCACTCTCAAAGAATGGTAAAAAAGGAAACTTTGAACATCAGGAAGCAATAAAGAAGAGCAGGGAAAGGTAAAACTATGGGTAAGCACGATAGCAATAATTACATTAAAGGTAATGTAACACTCAAAAAAGTGAAAAATTAGTATAACGTATTAAAAAATATGACCCAAAAATACACTGTTTACATGAAATTCACCTCAAATATACCAATATAAGCACGTTGAAAGAAAAAGGGTGGAAACAAGGAAGCCCAAGATTGGGAATTGAAACTACCTTTGCAAAATTGTGACAGTATGAGACATCTGACATAGTTGACTTCATCTTGCTTCTGACCTCCAGGCAGTCTTTGGTCATTCCTGGGTGTAGGCCAGATTTTAGTTAATAGTTTAATTTTGAAATAAGAATAATAGTCCCTCCCTAAAACTAATCCCCTTCTTGTTCAGGGGCTGAAACCACCTTTGCAAGACTAATGTAAGGCCACAAGATTAGGATTATGGAAGGGACCTGAATTCTACTAAAATGTAGGTGTATTTTCTATAGTCCCTTATCACTCACAAGTCGTATGGCCAGAGGTCACAAGATTTGTGACTATCCCAATTGAGTCTAAAGGTAACATCAATATTGTAGTGTTGGCAGGACTTTTCCTTAGTTTAGCTAAAGACAGGGTTCTTTGTCCCACAGCCACAAAAATTCAGGCTCACAGATAATTTGAATGGTGAGTAAGACAGGGTTTTATTTGGTTAAAAGGAAGAAAAGGGGCAAACAAGGACTCTTGTAGGCCAGAGTCCCTGCTAGAGTGCTTTACACCTGCAGCTTGAATCCCAGGTTCCACACAGGAAGAGGAGGGGCCAGGCTCCTCCCTGCTGCAAATGACAAACTTCCTGAGGCTCCACCCCAGCCTGCATTTCCAGTGCACAGCCCTGTTGAAGTTTCCCCAGGGACCCTCTCCCACCTGGGTATCTCATTTACCCCTCTAAAGAAGTACATCTAACAGCCATTAGATTAAGGATGAGGATGAAGACAGATCTTAACTGCTTCCTGCTGACAGAGAGCACTGTTTTGGAGAAATGGCAGTCAGAGCCCCCTCAGAGGCCTACTTAAGGGTTCCCAGCAGAAGGGGCCACCATCAGAGGCTTTGGTTGCATGACCATTTGGAGGGTGATTGCCTGAAGGCAAGAAGAGACAAAGTGGGTTATTAGAAAGCAGGTATCAAAACAAAACAAGGGGAGGGGTAAGGACAAATGCCTGACTTGCAAAAAACTTCACCCTTTTGCTGCCACGTTGGGCTTCTGGGTTCCCTTCCCCTGAGCCCAATCCTAAGCCAACAGTTTAAGGACTGGGAAATTAACTCTTTCCAGTTTGGAGGATGCATCTGAGGGGAGTGTCTCATAGTAGAGAGATACAATTACCTATTAGTGAAGAGAGAACTGAGGAGAACAAAGGAAAAAAGAATGCACCTTTTAAAGGAGCCCTAGAGGTTCAGGATGCATTTGAAAGGGGTACAGACTGAAGATGAATGGCTACCCATCTAGAAAGAGTGAGGCAGGCATCCCTCATTCTCTTCTCTTTCTAGCAGATATCCGGCATATGTGAGGGAGGGAAGGAAGAGCATCCTCTTTCTGTCTTCCGTCCTTGCATTCCTGAGTCCCAGTGACCTTGGCAGATCCCTCAATCAGTGGCAGAGTGGCTTGCACCCATGAAGCAGGGAGGGCCTAGAGAATAGGAATTATCTGCTCTCACCTATGCCTCTATCCCCGCTACTGTCAGTAGCCTTAAAGTTTCCTGGACTTCATTTATGCCATGGATATCAACAAGGACTTTATCCATGAAACAGGAAGCTTGGGGTTGGCTTAATTGGCAGGAATGAGCCACGCTTACCTGTGCTGTGCCTTTTAACCTCTGTTGCCATTTGCCTCTGGATCTCTCAGATCCAGTTTTCCTTCCTAGGGCTTTGACTTGAAGCTTGGAATTAAGTTTGGGACAACAGCGTTTCCTCAGAGGGTTGCATGGACTCATTATCATACGCCAAATAATAAGGTAAAACTGTGAAACTGAGTCCTCTTCCAACAAGGGAGAGAAAAGGATGTCTTGTGATACATTCAGATAAATGGTAGCTATAGTTACGCTTACTAGGGTTTGGGTTCATGTTGATGGCTTTGGTTGATTCCCTTGGTCTTCAGTTCCCAAAAAGGAAAAAGGAAACCTCCAGGTGATGGGCATCCTAATTATTCCAGTCATCAGGCAGGATTTGCAGGATAATTGCTCAGAACTAGAATATTGATCCAGATTTTTACATTACCCATTTCTCTTGTTCTTTCTGAGCTACAGCTGGAGATTGATGGTAGATTCACAGGAACGAGAAGGGTTATTCTAAAATGTAGTCAAAAATTTAAAAACAACTAATGAGTTTAGAATTTCATGACAAATATATGTTTTGAAACATGATTTCTCTGTCTCTAGTCTTCACTTTTGTTAAAAAAATTATGATAGAAATGAGTGGTTTGCAAAGTAGACTTTAGTCTTATACTTGGCCTGATTATTTGCATAAAGTGCAAAAAGAATATTATTTCTACATAGGTCTTTTGGATTGGCTTTAGTGGATGTTTGTTCTACAAGGAGTCTCGGATGAGACCTTTTAAAGCCATTCCCAACCATGGGTTTATCCTCAAATACCTGTGAGTTGGGTGCTTCTCTCCTCTTAAAGTCCCACAATAAACCTGGAGCTCCTGGACCTGTTAGAAAGTGACACTCTTTACTGACCATAAGTCAGGAACCCTGTACAGGGACTGCATAGACAAGGGTATGAGGCCAGTTTCCCCACTGGGCTTTTATTGGCTCTGCAATTCAAGATTGACTCCTTAAAGGGAAGCATACCTTTCTAGTCAAAGCCTCAGTAAAATGCCAACTTTCTCCAATTGTGTTCTGTTGCAAAAGAAAAATGGATTATTATTGCACGGATGCAAACAACTATATTGCCATAATAATATTCACAGATAGTTTCCAAATTTTAGAGGGGCCAGGAAGAGAGAAATAAACATGCTCTAATTTTTTTTCATAAAAGTATACCTTGCTTCATTATTAAAGGGTGCAAATATTTCAAAATAAGTTTCTGTGACTCTGAAAAACACAACAATAATCAGCAATATTGCAAGCAAAAGTTAAAAAGATTGCTTCAGCTTTCTGAGTCCAGTCCATTTAGTTAACTCTTGTTTCGCTTATACTTGTAAGCATTTCAGGTCTTCATGAATCCTGTACATTTTCCTGTATTCTAATGTCACAATATCCAAAGTTATCAGAAGCCTGTATTTGAAAGCACCTGTTAAAGTTCTATAGCCTATTATAAACCATCTTTTGCAAAGGATTAAAACACGACAACAATTTTCTGTGAATAGCTAAATGTCCAGAGTAGTTATAGTTAGAAACAAAATTGACAAAGAAATTTGGTTATCTCCTTGGTTTACAATAACTTAACATAACAACCTTAATTATGATTGATAGCATATACTTAGATTTTAGAATTTTAGAAATCCCATACAATTTAAGAACATATATTACCACTATTCACCAAAATATAACCTAAAGATTGAACATCATTTTGGCAATCCCATGTACCTAAATATGTTAAATGACCCTATTTACCTCTCTTTTTTGGATACTTTAAGAGTCCTGCGAAGTATCCAAAAAGCCAGGTGTCAGGAAAGGCAATTTTGAAACTTAAGTTTGATTTTGGGAAGGCTGTTAAATATGTAAGTTTTAAAAACTTGATGTGATGAAATGGAATTTCAGATTACCATAAGATATTTATTTTGCCAAAATTGAGAGACAGTACTAGCTGAATTTCCTAGGCCAATTAAGAGTTCCTAAGCCTAGCTGGGGAAGGTGACTGCACTCACCTTTAAACAAGGGGCTTGTAACTCAGCTCACACCCGACCAATCAGGTAGTAAAGAGAGCTCACTAAAACACCAATTAGGCTAAAAGCAGGAGGTAAAGAAATAGCCAGTCATCTATCCCCTGAGAGCACAGGGGGAGGGACAATGATCAGGATAAACCCAGGCATTTGAGCCAGCAGTGGCAACCCCCTCTGGGTCCCCTCCCCTTGTATGAGAGCTCTGTTTTCACTCTATTAAATCTTGCAACTGCACACTCTTCTGATCCGTGTTTGTTCTGGCTTGGGCTGAGCTTTCACTCACTGTCCACCACTGCTGATCACTGTCGTCACAGACCCGCCGCTGACTTCCACCCCTCCAGATCCAGCAGAGGGTCCACTGGCTTCTGATCTAGCAAGGCGCCCATTGCTGCTCCCAATCGGGCTAGAGGCTCACCACTGTTCCTGTGAGTCTAAGTGCCCGGATTCATCCTAATCGAGCTGATTAGGAACCCAACTAGTCGATGGGTTCCACGGTTCTCTTCCATGACCCACAGCTTCTAATAGAGCTATAACACTCAACGCATGGCCCAAGGTTCCATTCCTTGGAATCCGTGAGGCCAAGAACCCCAGGTCAGAGAACAAAAGGCTTGCTGCCATCTTGGGAGCAGCCCACCACCATCTTGGGAGCTCTAAGAACAAAGACCCACCGGTAACAAAATGATGACCCAGAAATTTGAAAGAAGCAAAAGCCTTTTATAACCCTTTATATATTTTGCCAAAGAGCAGATTAACATTTTAAAACTAGTGTGTTGTGTTTTTATTTCAATGATCAATTTACAGAAAAACCATATAATACCCTTTTGAGTTCAGTCAATATGTTCACATAGAGAACCTCTTCTGCAAGATTAATTTCCAAAATTGTTCCACCACTTGTTCGAACCTTCAGTTTTTCCCTATCTACGTCAAAACAATCCTTTAACCCTAGGAAAAACTACACTTCCATGTTTTCTTATAACCTTTTACTAAAATATACATTTTACTGTTCTTACCCACCTTGAATGTAAATCTATTTCTAATAGTTTCAATTGCATGTTGTAATGGTAATGCCTAGCAATTTTTAACTTTAATGTAAAACATGGTAAGTTGTTTTAACTGTGTGCTGAATGCAGTCAGGTTTTGCCTCCTTAATTAAGGGCGTGGTTAGTTCTTCATGTCCTCAGGCCTTACCAGCTGTGAAGCTGGCAATACAGACAGTTCCCAAAACCCAAAAAGCAGTTTGTAACCTTAAAACACTTAGCAAACCTTGCATCTGACCTGCATTTTACCAGTAGTTTTAAGGGATGTTTTTATTTCTCAAAGATTAAAGTCATGTGAACTGAAAGGTACCACAGTGTTTAACTTTAAAAAAATAATTCATCCAAGTGCTTGTCTTTCTTTAGGCCAAATTAATTAGTGCTCTTTTTACAGACATCACACACAGTACACACACAGGCAGGAGAAAACCCAGTTGCTGGGTGGGGCACTATAAAAGACAAGGCTAGGAAAACATGCAGATATGGGACCAGAGAGAGCTCATTCCCTAAGGCAGGATTGCTGAACAAAGCCTTGCCAAGCAGTTACTGGCCATTCCCCCAGCAGGTAAATCAAGATGGAGGTTTGCAGCACAAACCATACAGATACACAAGGCACACTAGATTGGCCATAGCCCAAGACTAGCCCACAAGTCCCTTTTCACAATTAAAGCTTTACAGACAATATAAACAGTGATAGTTGAGGGGCCCTGGCCTAGTAAGCATCTTCTAAAATTTAAAAAAAAAAAGCTTGCTTAAAACTTATTGCTGGTGGGGTAGAGAAGGGGTTTAAAAATGCCTGGAGAAGAACCTCTTATTCTTATGCCATTGGTTCCTCCACCAAGAGACAAGCTTAATTACTGTCTGATGCAGTAAAGCCCCTTGGCTGGAGAAGGGGAAGGCTCTGGTGGCGAGTGGTGGAAAACGCCCACCAGAGGGACCCTTGGGCCATGCGTTCTAGCCATGGCGAAGAGGGGAAGGTTAGTTCCCCCCAAAAAAAGGAACGGGCCATAAAAAGGCCCAGGAATGAAGTGGGAAGGTGGGGGAGGCACAGGTATTGGGGACCTGGTTCCCTCATCCTCGGAAGTCTGAGGATAAAAAGGTAACGGTGAGAGGTTTTGAGTCCATATTTCACTCAACACTTCTTGAGCACCACCTTGCATGCCAGAACTGTTGTAGGACTTTTCTTTGATTCAGCTGAAGACAGAGTTCTTTGTCCCATAGCCATGAAAATTCAAACTCGCAGACAATTTGAATGGTAAGTAAGACAGTTTTATTGGGCGAAAAGGAAGAAAGGGGGGAAACAGGAACTCTAGCTAGGCCAGAGTCCCTGATAGAGTGCTCCATACTTGCAGCCTGAATCGCAGGTTCCCCACAGGAAGAGTAGGAGCCAGGCTCCTCCTTGATGCTAATGGAGGGAACTTCCTGAGGCCCCACCCCATTGGATAAGCTGGTTGGAGTTGCTCTAGGGACCTCCTCCCACCTGACTGTCTCATTAGAACCTAATATAGGTCTTTTGAAAATATTTTTTAGATGTCTACATTCTGGCAAATGACAGAATCTACCCAGACCCATGACTTATGACTCAACCTGTTCCCTGTCCACACCCAGATGTGGACTCCATGCAGGAGAACTCTTTTCCACACCCCTGTGATTTCATCCTCATCCAATCAGCAGCACCCATCCCTAGCTCTCTGCCCATAGGTAACTTATGTCATGGGGGTTTGTTGTACAGATTATTTTTCACCCAGGTATTAAGCCTAGTACCCAATTGTTATTTTTTCTGCTTCTCTCCCTCCTCCCACCTCCTACACTCCACCCTCAAGTAGATCCCAGTGTCTGTTGTTCTCTTTTTTGTGTTCGTATATTCTCACTTTTAGCTCCCACTTACAAGTGAGAACATGCAGTATTTGGTTTTCTGTTCCTGTGTTAGTTTGCTAAGGATAATAGTCTCCAGCTCCATATATGTTCTCGCAAAAGACATGATCTCATTCTTTCTGTGAATGCATAGTATTCTATGGTGTAGATGTACCATGTTTTCTTTATTCAATCTGTCATTGATTGGCATTTAGGTTGATTCCATGTCTTTGCTGTCATGAATAGTCCTGTAATGAACATTCTTGTGCGTGTGTCTTTATGGTAGAATAATTTAGATCTCTCCGGTTATATACCCAGTAATGGGATTGTTGGGTCAAATGGTATTTCTGCTTTTAGCTCTTTGAGGAATCACCATACTGCTTTCCACAATGGCTGAAATAATTTAAATAATTTACACTCCCACCAACAGTATATAAGTGTTCCCTTTTCTCTGCAACCTCGCCAACATCTGGTGTTTTTTGACTTTTTAATAATAGCCTTCTCACTGGTGTTAGATGGTATCTTATTGTGGGTTTTGATTTGCATTTCTCTAATAATCAGTGATATTTAGCTTTTTTCATATGCTTATTCGTTGCCAAATGGCATCTAATTAAACTTCAGTGCTTCTGCACAGGAAAAGAAAACTATCAAGAGAGTAAACAGACAACCTACAGAATGGGAGAAAATATCTGCAGACTATGCATCTGACAAAGGTCTAATATCTAGCATCTATAAGGAACTTAAACAAATTTACAAAAGCAAAACAACCCCATTAAAAATTTGGCAAAGGATATGAACAGACACTTTTCAAGAGACAAATATTTAGAGTGGAATTAATTCAGAATTCATTTAGCCACATGTAAGATGTTCTGTTGAAGGTCTACTTATCCATTGTGTTTGTAACTGCTATTCAAAAATGTAGATTATATAATTATTAGAACAAAACAAAAGCTAACCAAATATTAGAAAGGAGTCAGATGTTACCCATTTGGAGGCTGTAAATATTTTTTATGTTTCTGTATAACTAAGTCTTCCTGAAAAATTTTAGTACAATTTGAGAACAGTGCTAAAAGACAAGGCTTAGAACTTAATTAATGACTTCATAGCCAGTGAGAACACCAAGGAGATTTACTACTCTAGAGGTATATGTTTATATTTTCAAAGCAGCCTGAGATCCCTGGGACCCTATAGATATTCCTGATTGGTAAAGCTGGAGACTCTAGTCTTATCTCCTTCCCTTGAAGAGATTTATTTACATTTTAAAGTATAATATTTTAGGATCCTTCTCATTATATTTCTATGAAGACTTTCTCGGAAGGGGAAAGTGGGGACAGCAGTTTCCTCTCATTCCTAATAAATGCACAGTTCCTACACTCTAATACCAACTTGGTATATTAGGATGACATCTCATTTTCATTACATCATCCTGGAAGGAATAGGAGATTGGCACCCTGACATGGTGGCACAGGAAAACTGGTGCATTATTTGCTGTGAGCAAATAATCATCTGCTCTGTTTCAGAAAACTTGCATTGGCATTTAGTATAATATTAATAAATTTTTTTCAGAAACAATATCCTCTCCAGATTCATTTTTCTTTGTATTGATAAGATTGGTTTCTTTTATTTTCAATTAAAGAAATAATTGGTCATGAAGTTCCTTCTATAAGAAATATTGGCAAATATAATAGAGAAATTTTTCAAATTAACATTTAGAATGAGGCAGAGGAACAACAATGCATAGAAATTTAACTATGTGGAGGCATTTAAATGAGCTCGTATTAATATTTTACATATTTTTGACTAAACTACAGTTTTATATATATATACACACACACACACACACACACACAAACACACACAAAGATTTTTTTCTCTGACTCCTGAAACTTGTCCTAAGCACATCTGTGCACTTCACTTAAAAATTCCGTTTTAACAAGAACTCTACTGTCGGTTCAGCAAGAACACCCCACTCAGTATCTGATCACCTTGAATATCTGATCAGGTTTCTTATTCTCTACAATCTCTCAAGTGATATCTGCACACACTGGCCTGTCTTCAGCAAGAATCCTGTTGAAAATCCATTTAGCCAGAATCCCCTTTATTTCTGATGATTCCTCTTAGTAATTTTCCATCCACTGATCCTCACCCTGCTCTTTGGATGTGAATTCCCACTTGCCCATGCTGTGTTTGGAGT
The DNA here is from genome assembly GCF_000001405.40 of Homo sapiens. NCBI lineage: Eukaryota > Metazoa > Chordata > Mammalia > Primates > Hominidae > Homo > Homo sapiens. Next base: position 162,662,285 of record NC_000003.12, on the reverse strand, counting down.
TAAGCACACTCTCTCTCGCCCACTGCAAAATCCCATTAGAGTGGTTCCTATATCTGCTGAGGTGGTCCTGACTACATTTTGCCTTACCATGCTTTAGCCAGTGCCATTGAATAAATTTTAACTTAAATTAGAAAATCTGAGAATAACTAATGAATTTTAGTATTCATTCTCAAATAAAAGCTTCTATAATATTTTTATAATAGTTGAATTTTCAGATATATGTGATTGAGTTCCTGATACATAGGCATGACAAACATGCACTATGTAGCATCTGAAAGAGTAACATGATTTATAAATCTATCTCATATATTAGATGTGAGAAAGGCAAATATATATATGTGTATATAAATACGTATATATTTGCATGTGAAATTATGAAAGAGTCCACAAGATCATCCTCACTTCTGACACCAGCTACAGATTTGGGGATTTTTAACACCATTTTTAAGTTCAATAATTCACTGGAAGAATTCACAGAACTGACTGAAAACTGTCATACTCATGATTATGTTTTATTATAGTGAAAAGACACAGAATAAAGTCATCCAAAGGAAGAATCACATGGGCAGAATTCAGAAGGTTCCAAACATAGATTTTCCAGTGGTACTTTCCCCATAGAAAGAACACATGGAATTAACTTCATCAAGCAATTATATGTCATGATATATGTGTAGCTGTAGCAACCATGAAAGCACACTCAAAACATGATGCCCAGAGTCTTTATCGGGCTCTGTCACTACATGGCTAACCTCACTCTCCAGGCCCTCCAGTGGTCCAGCTGATGCCGTATGACCCAAAGTCTCTACCATATATCATATTGTTAGATTACCTGGCATGCCCAAGGCCCCAAGCAAACAAACACTTTATTAAGCAGGACTTTCAAAGGCATTAGTGATTTCTCCCAGGAGCTGAGGGCAAAGGCCAGACTTCTCTTTGGGAATGGCTACATTCTTTACTACACAGTATTTATGTGTTTCCTAGACCTGGAAAAGGTCTCGGCCACATAGTATGCAAAGTCAACCTTTGATTTGTAAGTAAGTTTAAGAGCAAATGACACAAATGATACAAATAACCTACTTTCATTATCAAAAAGTTGACTTTTCTGTGGAATTAAGACCATGAATATAATTCAACTATTGGGACTTAGACAATCTTCATAATTGTAAGTTTTAGGTGTTTATTTCAGAAAATACTTATCCAGAAAATAAGTTCATAAATCACTAAATAATCTTAAAATTTGCTCTGGAAAATTCTTAAAAAACAGTTTATTCAGGCAGTTTATTCTTCTGGGCAATCATTACCTTATGGGGCAATAAACTGTACACTAAAAAAAGAAAAAGGAAAAAAATTGTACATTCTCATGCTGCTAAAAAGGACTGCTCGAAACTGGGTAATTTATAAAGGAGAGAGGTTTAACTGACTCACAGTTCCACATGGTTAGGAAGGCCTCAGGAAATTTACAATCATGGAGGAAGGGGAAGCAAACACATTCTTCTTCACATGGCAGCAGCAAAGAGAAATGCTGAGAAAAAGGGGAAAAATCCACTTATAATACCATCAGATCTCATGAGAACTCACTCATTATCTCAAGAACAGGAATGTGGGGAAAACTGCCTCCGTGATTAAAGTGCCTCCCACCAAGTAGCTCCCACAACACGTAGGGATTATGGCAGCTACAATTCAAGATTAGATTTGGGTGGGGACACAGCCAAACCATATCAATCATACACTTGTCAAAAAATAGATTGCTCACTAAACCATTTTCTTATTGTGCTCACCAATAATGAACTTATACAAAAGTATTATTTTGAAATACACCTTGAAATGAAAAACGGCAAAATCTCAAACATCCATTGGTCTGCATTTTGATGTAAATGAGAATGCTTCAAAACAAACTCAGATTACAGTTTTTTGTTTTTTTTTTTTAAATTCTGTCAGCAAGGCAAATTTTAAAAAATGTGCAAAACTTAAATCTACCTCTCTTTTAGATACCCAAACAATAAATTGGACATAATGGCTTTTATATTTCCATCACTCTGCTTCTACTCTTCCATCTGACTAACCCTGCTGACCACCCAGAAATTCCCAATTCCCAATGCTTAATGACCTGCTAAAGTTAAACCATAATTAAAATAGAACAAGCTCTTTAAAACATTTTTTTTGTTTTGATGGAGTCTTGCTCTGTCACCAGGCTGGAGTACGTCGGCACAATCTCGGCTCACTGCAACCTCCGCCTCCCGGGTTCAAGCCATTATCCTGCCTCAGCCTCCCAAGTAGCTGGGATTACAGCAGTGTGCCACCGTGCCTGGCTAATTTTTTGTATTTTTAGTAGAGACAGGGTTTCACCATGTTAGCCAGGATGGTCTCGATCTCCTGACCTCATGATCCGCCCACCTCAGCCTCCCAAAGTGCTGGGATTACAGGTGTGAGCCACCGCCCACAGGCAAAGGCTAGTTGAGTCCAAAACCTAGAAAGATGGATGGGAATTTATAGAATAATTTATAACAGTTCTAGAAACACAAAGAACTTCACATGCAAATAATGGATGGCAAATGCTGAGCAGAAAAATCCTAAGACTGATTTAAGAAATTTCTTATTACATAAGAATTTAAACTGGTTTCTAAAAGATAGACAATGTCTTTGGAGCCTCTTTCCAACTTCTTTATTGTGAAACTAGATTATATTTTAATATAGTTCTGCCAACAAAATGATAGTTCCTTAGCAGACTTCAGGAACAGGTTATTTAATACTTTTATGTAACAATCAGGTGTAAATTCTGAAACAGATGTTCTCAACCTTTCTCTTCATGGTGTGTGACCAACCTTAAGCCAGAAATAGAAAATTTTAAATGCAGCAATACCTGGAATGGGAAATAATCCTCCTGCCAAATCTCCAATTATTTTCTGAGTAGTTTGAGAGCCTTAGAATAAAAAGAGAATAAGACCCAGGAAAAATCGATGTTGATGACCTTATATACAAAACAGGTACCTGCTTCCATCTAGACATTATATACCAAGGAAGAGAGCATTTTGGTAAAGATACTTGTAGAATTGTAAGCAGAAAACAACTTTGGGTAAACAATTGTCCATATACTGTGTTCAATAAGAAGCTGAAGGATAAATAAAATTAGGCAGCTGATTAATGAAGCTGTTAGTGAGAACCAAGTGCCCCGTTTCCTATTTTATCCTAAACACTCACACACACAAAAAATTGCCTAAATATTAAATGAAAACCCTACACACTTTGATAGACATAGACAGGGAATATCTACCTTAAACTCCTGACACCCTAAATATTAAATGAAAACCCTACACACTTTGATAGATATAGACAGGGAATATCTACCTTAAACTCCTGACACTCTTACATAAATTGTGCCTCAGAGTCTGTTTCTAATAACCCACTTATATTCTCTGTCTCCTGGCCTATATCCTTTACAATTAGTGTCTCTTTACAACAAAAAGTAAACATCCACTTTCTTTTTTACAGAAAACAGAAGAATATACCAGGACAGTTACATCTCAGGAGTTCATTGAAGTACTTTTCTAGTTTTTATAAGCCCTTAGCCAGAACTTTGAAGACTCTTCAATCTCCCTTAAATTCTATTTTTGTCCAAATATGCAAATGGCGTATTGGTATGTTCTTATATGAGGTGAGTATCTAAAACTGATTACAGCAACCTATCTGCTGTTTTAGCTCAGAAAGAATCTTAAAATTCCAAATTTACATTTTACTATTATAAAAATAAATAAATTCTCTAGGGCATGATTTATACCTAGGAAGCAAAAATTCTTATACCATTTTCGTCCTCACACATTTCCATCCAACTTTTCTTTTACTACCAAAATAAGAGGAAATTCATAAGTGCTCTCCTATCTCTATGTAAAACTGTTCATATTCCAGGTACATTTATCAAAAATCTGTTCACTGGAAACTTTATTTAGTCTTTCATTTTGAGATGCAATACTTTATGACAGGAACATGAAAATAATAGGCAGGACACAATAAAAAAGATGTTAACTAACCCCTAGGATATTTCTTCTCACCGGACAAACTCTGTTTGGATTGCATAACTCCTGTCATTCATTGCAGCTTGCTGAATATTGAGAAATAAGAGAGGACAGGTTCAGTGGCTCATATCTGTAATGGAGGCAGAGGCTAAGGGATCACTTGAGCCCAGGAGTTCAAGACCAGGCTGGAAAACATAGCAAGACCCAATCTCTACAAAAAAACTAAAAAATTAGCTAGCCATGATGGTGCATGCCTGTAGTCCCAGCAACTTGGGAAGCTGAAGTGAAAGGATTATTTGATCTTGGAAGATCGAGGCTGCTGTGAGCCATTATAAGACAATTGCACTCCAACCTGGATAACAGAGCAAGACCCTGTCTCGGTAAATATTAATTAATTGATAAATTGAAATGAAAAATTTAAGAAGGTAATGTATTTCCTGATAGGAGAAATGCTTTTTAAATTTCATTATTATTATTATTTTTTAACATAGTCCATAATTTGGAATGTTGTGGAAATAACAGGATTTATTGATTTCAGCTGAATCTTCATTAAGACTGACAAACATGTTAAAGATATTCAAGCACTACACTGCCTAAATCTATAAAGATAATGGCTCATACGAAAAAGAATAATAGAGAAGAAATGTCTTTGCTGATCATTATACCATGTAGGCAGCATTCACTGACCTTGTCCTATAATGATCCAAAATGCTTTTTGGAGAGTTTCAAAGAGCCCATTATGAAATGTCAACAATTTCTCCAGAATCTGGAAGGAGATATTTGGGAAAACATAATTGTAATCTCTAATCGCCACCAGCCTTTTTAGCACATTTGATAACACCACATAGCATCAAATGGAGTCTTGCAAAAAAAACCAAAAACAAACAAACAAACAAAAAAACATTGCATCAAATTACTCACCATAGGCCAAAAAAAAAAAAAAATCCACTTATTCAATCAACGTCACTGGGCAAACTTTACCAATATTACTAAGGCTATCTCTGGTGAATCTCTCATATATCACCAACATAATATTGTTAAACTGCAAGGGAATAACATGGAAAGAACCCAAGCTTCAGGATTCTTTTAAAAACCTCTAGATAGATTTCATAAAACCATGCCTGGGATAAAATTTTAATAAATTGTTTTCTTATTCTAAAGATGAATTGCAAACTTACCTTGCTGGACAGGTATGGTCATGGTGGAAGCAAAAATGTTGTTATATTTTGAGTTTTCATCCTAAGAAATTCCAACCTCTTATGCTAATGACAAGGGCAACCACTTTGTTGAGACAGCAGGAAAGAGCTTTGGGAGGCCTTGCCACTGGTAAAGACATTGTATTTTTTTTTCACCTCAATTTTCAGGAAGCTTACAGAAAACCAACAGAAATTTTAAATTTGTACTGTCAAACAGTCTGACACGACTGTGATACCTATGGACCTTATGATCTCCAACAACCATTGCTTCTCACATAAAACTAATCAGGAGTCATTCTATGACATTCAGTATTTTTTTCCCCTAATTTTGAACTCCACATTCATTCAAGACGACGTGACAAAGTATTGAGGGGACCTAGGAAATACATTGAGCCATAAGGCATTGAAATACAACCTGCCTTTCCTCAGGATACTTCCAGGTAGCCTCCACATGCTTGAAAACCTGGGGACTTCATCTTCTGGAAAAGACATAAAAAATATTTCTTGGGATCACATTAAAAAAAAAACAACTTATACTTTCAACTACTGGCATAGTAGTTACTCACCAAGAAATAAGGCCTTGGATTCATGAATTTCATCTGAGAAGACAAAAAATTTTCACTCGTCATCATCTATGTCTTTATACCAATGAGAGCTTTAAAACTATAGATTCTCAGAAAGTCCTCTGTAAACCTAAGACATTGGAAATTATAAGAGTTATCCCAAGAACATAACTCAGGCTGACCACAGAGTGAGGTACACATCTTCCACCTATACACATCTTCCACCTAAGACACTAGATCAAGACATTGTCTTTTCTGTTGTTGTTTCTTTCTGTATCATTTTACTTGTGTTTGGTTTTAGTTCTGTTCTGTGTTTTATTTCTTAGTGCAGTCATTCTACTCAGCCTTCTTTGGTGCTCACTTCTTGTCATGTAAATGAGGAAAATTTTTCTTTCATGCTAACCTTTTTTTTTTCTTATTTCTATAGATGCCATTGGTTATTTTATGGTATGGTAGCACTAGTGGGCTACAAATGATCCACTGAATACTGAAATGCCCGGAAAAATACAAGTTTTTAAATATGCTTCCATTTCTCTTTAAAGACTCGTTAGTCTCTATACTGTTGTCAGAAAGATCCAAATACTCATTCTGAGACAAAGCATGGAAAAATGTCCTTCATGACTTTTCTAAAGTCAAGATAATTATAGATGTGAAGAAGGCAGGCTTAATGTACTTCTTGAGGAGAAAAAGAAATCCTCTGCTCTCTTATGATTTTCAGCTGGGTGTAAAAATTAAACTGACATAAGACCAATTAATAAGAGAAATGCTTCTGTTTTATTAAATGTTTATACATATATGGGACCTTGAATACTCAAAGAAGTCACTAGATCAGAAAGCTAGTTAACCTCTTAGACAAAGAAATGTTAAATTTGTGATCAAATACAAGACAAAGGTGCTTGGGGCAATAAGTTTTTTTCACTCCTAGAAGTGACTAGGAGACAAATAATGGGGGTGGAGGGTAAAATTAGTTGAAGGTAAGAGTTATTTTGGTAAGTTTGTTTGTACAGATTCATTTCAGTGTTGATACCCAGTCTCTGGTGATAAGGATGTTCTCATTCTGGTATGGGGAGAATACCTTTCTCATGAGATATTTTATGGCCTCTTCTTAGGTAGAAAAGAATAGATTAGAGAGCCTTCCCTGCATCTGATGTTTCCCAAATGCTTTCAGCTCAAAATGACTAACATGCGAAAGTAGCACATTTGAAGTAGCATGCTCCTATCTCCTTCATACATTGTGATGTCATATACACAAAAGTAAACAATGGAGTGGGTACTACTGATGGCAAACACAGTTGCCTTCATATGGCTGTGCCATGAGGAAAGCTTAACAGGAGACACTGAGTCGAAGGACATGATATGTCCTTTCTTATTCCCTCATCTTTAGCTGGGGATATGGTTAGGGAGTAGGTGCATGGGTGGAAACTACTTTCTTTATATAATGCAAAATGGAAACAAAGTTGCTAAATAATTCAACTGCAACATGTTGGCAAGAAAATTATTCAAGTGTAGCTTCTAATTTTTAATACTGCATTTGTGGAACTGAGTTACATTTGGTTTCCCAGAAAAATAACATATTACTCAGGTCTAGTGAGTACATGTTACCTTGGAGTATTGCCTCAAGTTTATCTCACAGGGCCAGTTAGAACTCACAGCCTCTTTGGGGATCCTCACAGATACAAACCATTAAGGTATGAAAGTGGAGAAATGTAGCTGACTAATTATGGAAAAAGATGATATTCTAGATCAATAAGAACTTAACAAATGAGTGCTAAATCATTCCACCTTTTCACAAATAAAGGATTTTAAACTGCCATTTTCTGTTCCAGTGCTGCCTCAATTCAAGCTATGAAAGAAGTTCAAAAAGCTAGGAGGATTATTCATGTCATAAAAAAGAATTACCCAGTCACAGGCAATTCCAACAAAACAATTATTGACATACCTAATAGTACACTAGTCAAAAATGGGCAAGTAGCTGAATATAACAGAACCATCATCTATCTTTATTAAGTCTTACAGGCAAGTTATTTTGCTGTCTTTGGTGAAGGATTTTGTACTTATAGTCCTAGAGGCATTTCTAAAACCTTTAAAGTTGTCAAATAAATTTTAGGTAGAAATACTAAAATTTGAAAAATAGATGACTTCTCAAACAGACTGACACCAAGGCAAGAAATTTCTTCTAGGTTGCCTTAGACCTAGCTCATTGGTGGGGTTTGTGAAACAAAGGTGACGGGCTCAGAAGGGTCCTCCGGTTTTTAATAATTATGCTCTTGTTAATTTCTATGATCATTGTCATGTACACTGGTGTGATCTCCAGAATCCTAAATATTGTAATATAGCTGTTGTTTTGCCAACTAACCCAATAAATAATTATGTAATAACAATGAAATAATCGGATCCTCATATAGATTAAAATGACTATAACTTAAAACTTGATATGCTATCACAACACACCAAACCACAGTGCAAATCTGGATTGATCATGCTTCCAGACAATAATGATCTGTACAACAGCTCTAGGTGTATTTTGGTTATTAAAAACAATGAATATGTCTTTTCCTTGCCTATGTTTCATTTTCCTCCTGACATATGTTCATATTAAGATCACATTTACTACAAAGCTATTGTAGCTCTGCAATATGGTGTGTAATCAACTTTTTGTTTTGATTGGTCTTTAAAGGTATTCATCATGTTAGTAATCTTTTGAAAGAACCATATTTAGCTTTTTTTTCTACTTTATTCGTTTGTTACTGTGCTCATCTTTATTTTTTCCATATGCCTTTTTTGGTTTCATTTTTTTCCATATTTTCTCGCAAAATATGGAAAAACACATTATGTGTTTTTAATATTAAAAATTTTATGTCCAGGCTTTTGTATTTTAACATAATTTATCAGAAAATGTATATAATTTACCTTTACCTTATATGAATATGGATTTTGATAGTAATGTTAGGTTATGATTTTTCTTTTAACATTTAAAATGTGTTTCCTTTGACTGTTAACATACGTGGTTTCTGTTGAAAAGTAAACCATTTTATTATTGTTTTTGTTAAAGTTGCTTGTCATTTTATCCTTGCTACTATAAGGATTTTACATTAATTTTTTGTCTTAGGAAGTTTGACCATGGTATATCTATGCGTGGTTTTCTTTGTATTTTTCCTTTATGGAGACTCCCAAGCTAGATTCTGTGGTTTAAAGTTTTTCTTCAGTTCTGGAAAATCATTAGACATTACCTTTTTGAATATCTATTTTGCCTCAATATCACTTTCATTCTAGCATTCCATTTAGACTTAGAGCTTTTTCTGGTATTCCACAGCTCTCTTATGCTTATTTCTTCATTTTGTAGTTTTTCAGACTAACAGTCCTATATTCTGCCATTAAACATATCCAGTAATTTCTTGATCTCAGATATTCTTCAAATTCTAGAATAATTAGGTTCTAATTATTTGTTTAAACTCTTTAATTCTGCATATCTTTAGTTTATATTCCTTTCATATCCTTGAATAAAGTTATAATCATTAAAGTACATGGTTAATAACAACTATATTGAAATAACGTGGGGTTTATTTTTATTTTTTCCTGATTTGAAGATTTCTTCTATATTTTCATATGCTTCATTTTTTGTTTCACTGTTTCTTTTAATTTTTATGGTAACCTTACAAATAAAGGTTGTAAGGATACATGAAAAATGTAATGCATAAACTTCTGAATAAAATGGATTCTGCCAAGATCTTATGAAAATAAACCTGCCATATCCCTCTTTAAAAATTCAGAAAATGCACATACTTTTAAAAGGAAAATAAATAATCCAAACTGGGATACCTACACTTCAATTGCTAAGAACTTTTGAATTCTAAAGTTATGCATTTTATTTTATTTAGATTTCTATTTATATCTTTTAACATTCAGGACAGTAGAACAAACGAATAATTTCATATACACTTTGCCCAGGTTCAGCAATTTCTAGTATGCCCATTTACTCCTTAATAGTTTATGTGTATTTCCTAAAAACAAAGTATTTTATTTAAGTAACAATGCTATAGTTATCATGTTTAGAGAATGTAACATTGGCACAACACTTTAGCCTGAAGTATATATTAGAATTTCATCAAATTTTACAACAATTTCCAATTTTATTTGCTTTACCCAAAAGGATTCAATCAAGACAAAGGCTTGCCATTGTTTGCCATGCTCATTTGATCTCATTTAATCTGGAAACTTTCCTCAGTCTTGTCGTGTCTTCTTGGGCTTCAGTAATAACAGTTATTTCAATTTGACTTCAGTTGTTTTCTGTTTTTCTTCCTCATTATTTGGTTCAAGATACGTATTTCTGGCTACAACAAAATAAAATTGATTATTCCTTCACAGAGTATCGCATGATACCTGTTTTTCCATTATCGTTTATTTTAATTTCAACCATTTGGAGGAAATCTTGCCTGCTTTTGCTACTCTATATTTATGCTATTAATTTTTGAATTTATTAAGTAACTTGTGCAGAAACAAAAAGACTGTATATATTCTGTTTAAAATAGTTCTAAAACTCTAATGTACACTAAAGTACATTAGATAAAATTGTTTCCAGTATATTCTGCAGAAATTTTCTAATCAGTGGTCAGGACACTAAAATCAGGCTCTTGGCATAGCTTAAAAGTGAATGTAAGTAACCACAAAAGAAAGGTGGCTCAATTATTTTAAAGATAAAGTGGTAAAATTTGACTTACTTGTTTATTTAATACATTACAGATAGTTGTTTGCAAGTCCCACAGTTTGGATCATAAAAATATGTTTTGGAATTTAACGCAATTTCAGAGTATTAACCAGACTTTTTAATTTGTCACGTTTCATTTATATTTTAGCAATAGTAAAGTCACTCTGCATGCTCGGTAAGAACAGCAACAAAAATGCTTTAGTACCTCATTATGTGTGAAGTAATTTGTTTCAAGGAGCCATATTCTTTTAACTTTTCTATATAATATGCAGCAATATTATTTCCAGTTTAGAGCAATTATATTTTTTGCATGAATACATTGAAAGTGTCATAGATGGAAGACAAGTAAAGCATTTTGTTATTTCTATGATTAGAAACACAGCTACCGAAAATTTGTGCTCAATTTAAATATGTGGGAAAAAATAAACCTATACCCCTTTATAAAGCCCAGTTTTATAATTCGCTAGTATTTAGTGAATGCAAAGTAATTTACAAATATATTTACTCAGACATCATCCTGGTAGAAATAACGTTTAAGTAGGCTTTTCTAAGAAATAAGAAGTGGCCAGGTGCAGTGGCTCACGCCTGTAATGACAGCACTATGGGGGGCTGACGCAGGCGATTCATTAGGTCAGGAATTCTAGACCAGCCTGGGCAACATAGTGAAACCCTGTCTCTATTAAAAATACAAAAATTAGCCAGGCATAGTGGTACATGCCTGTAGTCTCAGCTACTGGGGAGGCCTAGGCAAGAACCAGAACCCAATTCTGGGTTCAAGAATTGCTTGAACCCGGAAGGGGAGGTTGCACTGAACTGAGATTGTGCCACTGCACTCCAGCCTGGACAACAGAGCAAGACTCCGTATCAAACAAAACAAAACAAAACAAAACAAAACAAAACAGTAACAGTTTGTGATTAATATATCATTTAAGTGATAAAGAGCATATATTTGAAAATTTACTTCAGAAAACAAACTTTCTTCTTCTACCTTCTGCGTTTTTTTTTCATATCTGTTCCTTAGGGTACTAATTTGGGTTTCTGCAGTATCTTGTATATTTTGCAGACTCTCATGCAATGTAATATTTAGAAAAATAATTAGTTTGCTTAAGTTGATTTCTTATTACTGCTGGTTTTATTTTTCATTTCTCCCATTCAACTAAGACTTATAGAATCAGACAGTAAATATACAAAATAATATAGAGATATTTTCTTGGAGAAAGAACATCATACAAAATATAGCGCAAATTATTTTAGTTTTGGAATAGAAATATGAACTAAAAAATACACATTTTTTTCAAATCATATGTGAGCAAAGTATAGTAGAAGTCTTAGACTGGATTCCTCAAATATCAGAGCCTCAGTCAAAGCCTGAGGTACTGTGTTATGTAAGTAGGTAATAACAGGAAATAGAAGTGAGGCTGATAAGGAAGCAGAATTCACTCAAAGCGCCTTTTTTTTTTTTTTTTTTTTTTTTTGAGACAAGGTCTTGCTCTGTTGCCCAGGCTATAGTGCAGTGGTGGATCAAGGCTCACTGCAGCCTCCACATCCTGGGCTCAAGTAATCCTGCCACCTCAGCCTTCCAAGTAGCTGGGACTAACACTATGTGCTACCACATCTAGCTATATTGGCCAGACTAGTCTTGTACTCCTGAACTCAAGCAATCTTCCAAATCCTCCCACCTTGGCTTCCCAAAGTGCTGGATTATATGTGTGAGCCACTGAGCCTGGCCTAACCCGATCAGGTGCAATTGATTGTTCTATTTTGTGGGATCATCTTTTGACAAATGATATTCATGTAAACTGTTTTAAAATTCAGTCCATCTAGATAAAAATAGAGAATTTATATATGGCTATTATCTCACATTTGTCAAACATTGGCCCCAAAGTTTAATAATTCTGCAGCATTTCTGGGTGGCCTTGTATGTTAAGCTCTCATTAAGTAAGCTAGACCCCACATCTTGCTGATTATTGTGGTAATCAAAAACAACAACAACAACAACAAACAAACAAACAAAAACTGAGGGCAAGGAGATCTCAAATAGCTCATTAAGAAATGTTTGATACAATAGGCAAAATTAATAAATAAGAAACAATATATTTCTGGGTGAATTTTAAGGGAAATAAAAAGCATCTCATATAAACCTGGGAAGATGCAATTAGTTTGCAAAATCAAGACAGCAACAAAAGTTAAATGATATCTCACAGACTGATAAGAGTAAGGACAAAGTGAATATTTCTGACACTGGAGTAAGGAAAGGTTTTTATATAACAAATACAAAAGCACTATATATTTTAAAAAGAGAGATAAAAGTGTCTACACTAAACTTAAGAGGACTTCTAGTAAAAAAAAAATCATTAAAAATGAAAGCAAACCCTGAACTTGGGAAAGACATATAAAACTTATTTTGCTAAGAAAGATTAATATATAATGGATCATATTCTTTCTTTTTTTGTAGATTTTATTTAGTTTTCATTCCTTATTCTTTTTTGTCCTTATTAAATGGATATTATCTCTTAAATTATAATATGGGGCATTTTCACAAGCCTTTTTTTAAACCACCTGGTATTAAATATATGCTTATTTTTAAATAGGAACATATTTTTCACACTGTTCTATCAATTTAATTCAGAAAAAAACACACATTTTATTTAAAAACTTTTCTGTTTGGTTTTGTTTTCTCATTTTATATGACACATATACAGACAGCACATATGTGTATGTATATGTTTGGATCCCAGAGTAGGCAAATGAGAATAAACTTACCAGGCCATAACAATTAAACTATTTACATTTTTGATAATTAAAAAATAATAAAGCCAAAAGAAGAGTATGTAGTGACCAAAAAAAAGAAAACTAATTTATGGAAAATAATGAAGTGGAAAGTTCAAAAGTGATAGGTCACATTGTCTTTAAATATGTGACTTATGTCCACCAATTTCTCCCTCTTACTTAGTAATACATTTTTGTAGTTTCTTAGCCCTTTATAAAGTGGTTTTCTACAAATAGTATCATTTTTAACTTGATTTACCGCTAACCAAATACTTAATGATTGCATTAGTCTGTTTTCACACTGCTGATAAAGACATACCCAAGACTGGGCAATTTACAAAAGAAAGAGGTTTAATACAGTTCCACATAGCTGGAGAGGCTTCACAATCATGGCAGAAGGCAAGGAGGAGCAAGTCACATCTTACATGGATGGTGGCAGGCAAGAAAAAATGAGGAAGAAGCAAAAGCAGAAAACCCTGCTAAACCCATTAGATCTCATGAGACTTACTATCACTAGTATAGCATGGGAAAGACCTACCCCCATTATTCAATTACCTCCCCCTGGGTCTCTCCCACAACAAGTAAGAATTCTGGGAGATACAATTCAAGTTGAGATTTGGATGGGGACACAGCCAAACCATATCATTCTACCTCTGGCCCCACCAAATCTCATGTCCCCACATTTCAAAACCAATCATGTTTTCCCAACAGTCCTCCAAAGTCTTAACTCGTTTCAGTATTAACCCAAATGTCCACAGTCCAAAGTCTCATCTGAGACAAGGCAAGTCCTTCCTGCCAATTAGCCTGAAAAATCAAAAACAAGCTAGTTCCTTCCTAGATACAATGGGGGTACAGGTATGGGGTAAATACACCCATTCCAAATGGGAGAAATTGGCCAAAACAAAGGGGTTACAGGGCACTTGCAAGTTTGAAATCCAGCAAGGCAGTCAAATTTTAAAGCTCCAAAATGATCTCCTTTGACTCCATGTCTCACATCCAGATCACGCTGATGCAAGAAGTAGGTTTTCATGGTCTTGGACAGCTTCACCCTGGCAGGGTACAGCCTCCCTCCCAGCTGCTTTCATGAGCTGCTGTTGAGTGTCTGTGGCTTTTCCAGGCACACAGTGCAAGCTGTTGGTGGATCTAACATTCTAGGGTCTGGAGGATGGTGGCACTCTTCTCACAGCTCCACTAGGCAGTGCCCCATTAAGGACTCTGTGGGAGGGCTCCAACTCCCTTCTGCACTGTCCTAGCAGGGGTTCTCCAAGAAGGCACCAGCTGGGCAGCAAAATGTTGCCTGGGCATCCACGCATTTCCATACATCTTCTGAAATCTAAGTGGAGGTTCCCAAATCTCAATTCCTGACTTCTGATCACCCAACAGGCTCAACACCATGTGGAAGCTGCCAAGGCTTGGGGCTTCCACCCTCTGAAGCCACAACCTGAGCTGTACATTGGCTCCTTTCAGCAATGGCTAGAGCAGCTGAAACACAGGGCACCAAGTCCCTAGGCTGCACACAGCATGGCGACCCTGGGTCAGGCCCATGAAAACATTTTTTCCTCCTGTTCCTCCAGGCCTGTGATGGGAGGGGCTGCCGTGAAGGTCTCTGATATGGCCTAGAGACATTTTCCCCATGGTCTTTGGGATTACCATTAGGCTCTTTGCTACTTATGCAAATTTCTGTAGCTGGCTTGGATATCTCCACAGAAAATGGGGTTTTCTTTCCTATTGCCATCAGGCTGCAAATTTTCCAAACTTTTGTGCTCTGCTTCCCTTTAAAACTGAAAGCCTTTAACAGTACCCAAGTCACCTCTTGAATGCTTTGCTACTTAGAAATTTCTTCCACCAGATATCCCAAATCATCTCTCTCAAATTCAAAGTTCCACAAATCTCTAGGGCAGGGACAAAATGCTGCCAGTCTCTTTGCTAAAACATAACAAGAGTCACCTTTACTTTATTTCCCAACAAGTTTCTCATCTCCATCTGATACCACCTCAGCCTGGACCTTATTGTCCATATCACCATCAGTATATTGGACAAAGCTATTCAACAACTCTCGAGGAAGTTCCAAACTTTTCCACATTTGCCTGTCTTCTTCTGAGGCCTCCAAACTGTTCCAACCTCTGCCTGTTACCCAGTTCCAAAGTCGTTTCCACATTTTAAGGTATCTTTTCAGCAATGCCTCACTCTATTCATACCAGTTGACTTTATTAATCTGTTTTTATACTGCTGATAAAGACATACCAAAGATTGAGCAATTTACAAAAGAAAGTTTATTGGACTTTGAGTTCCACATGGCTGGGGAGGCTTCACAATCATGGCAGAAGGCAAGGAAGAGCAAGTCCCATCTTGCATGATGGTGTCAGGCAAACAGAAAATGAGGAGGAAGCAAAAGTGGAAACCCCTGCTAAACCTGTCAGATCTCATGAGACTTATTTACTATCATGAGAACAGCATGGGAAAGACCTGCCCCCATGATTCAATTACTTCTCCCTTGGTCCCTTCCACAACACGTGGGGATTCTGGGAGATACAATTCAAGTTGAGATTTGGATGGGGACACAGCCAAACCTTATCAATGATGAAATAAAACATAACTTTCAAGTGGACATGTAAATATACAAAGTAAAATATTTGATAAATGAAATAACTTTCCTTAATTCACATTAATGGCAAAATCATGAGCTGTTGCTAGGGGCTAGTTATAATCTTGCATCATAATTAAGACAGATTGAAACAGAGAGGATTAAAGTTTAAACACCCTCAAAAAAATTTTGACTCAATCATTTTGCATAAGCTTATTTGCCAAAGTGATATTTCCTGTATGACTAATAAAGTCTAATAGAAAGGTTGACCCTTTGGTCATAATACATTAATTATTGAAAGTAATTTTTTTAACACTTGATAAAATATTATATTAAGTAGTGATGACTACTTTTAAAATTTCCAGTTACTCTCTCCAAATGAATTCATTTCTTAGAATTTAAAACTTATAACATGAATGAACATGGTTTAACATGCTATTATTAGGTATAAGCTAACTAGGAAAAAGACAGGAGGAGAGAGAAGAGATATGAGAAAATAATATACAACCCATATTTAATTTACTAAAATAATTTTTAATTAAAGTTTAAAATTTTTTTAATATATCCAATTCTGCCTTTACTGATCAAAACATTATAAATGGTGAAAGTGCTATCTGATTCAAATAGGTGACTAGCCAGTGACTCTGTATCGTATCAAAAGAAATTTCAACTTAAAAGGCTGTGAGCTGGGGTGTTCTGCTCCAATGCTCAAAAATAGATGTGAAAAAACATGGACAAAATAAGTGTGCACATAACCAATGAGCATTAAAATTAATGATTGTAGAAAGCTGAGGCACAGATTAAAAATGTTTTGCTCTTAGACATATATAGAAATGTTTAATTGGTAAAATCAATGTCTTTGAAGTAAGTTACTGAGAATAGGTAGTCATTCGTAACCGTAATTATTCTGAAGTAGATGGTAAAATGTATTTAATTTAAATCATGATATTATCATTGAGATAAGTGTGTATTCATGCTCCAATCCTAAAGCAATTCTTTTAGCTGTATTAGCTCTGGAATTTTAACAAGAACAAAAATAGCATAGTCAAAGCTCTAAGTTTGTGAACTTTTGTAAGATGAATGCCCCTAAATGAAAAGGTGTGCATGCCTAAATGAGCATATTGAATACAAAGCAATTTAACACAATGAAATTGTTCTCAGATGATGCCTTCTCTATGAATTAATTTTTCCAGCAGTTGAATTAAGTTATTAAAGATAATACTACAGTTAAGATCATTACATGTTATTTAACTTTTGTCAGCATTTCAAATTTATTAGACATTTACAAATTAACTATCAAGGGAAATATAATAAAATAAGAGAGAGATCTAATAATATGTATTTGAGATTGATATTTAAAACAGAATTACATTTTAACCACATTATGTATTGTTATTGATTTTATTATTGTTATTTTTTGAGATGGAGTCTCGCTCTGTCACCCAGGCTGGAGTGCAGTGGCCCAGTCTCAGCTCACTGCAACTTCTGCCCCCTGGGTTCAAGAAATTCTCTGCCTCAGCCTCTTGAGTAGCTGGGATTACAGGTGCCTGCCACCATGCCTGGCTAATTTTTTATTTTATTTTATTTTTAGTAGAGATGAGGTTTCACCATGTTGGCCAAGCTGGTCTTGAACTCCTGACCTTGTGATCCACCCGCCTCGGCCTTCCAAAGTGTTGGTTTTACAGACGTGATATTATTATTATTATTAACAAGGAGCTATAGGCCAAGAATGTTCTAACAATATAGAGGAAAACTTTTAAGTGAGCTGTTAAAATAACTGTCAAATTCATAAATACTAAAAAACAACATATAATTGGGACAAAATTTAATTTCTCTGAAATGAAATAATTTTTCTTAGAAATCATTAAGAGATCTGTGTAAGTCCTTCAACAGAAACTATAATTTTGAAGTAAAAACTTTTATATTTTTATTTTTGAGAGTAAGATTAACTATAAATTTTTCTTATGAAATGAATAAATCTTCATTTTGACATAAAAAATTTAAATAAGCTCAAATTTTGTAATAAATTTATGGACATCTGTATTTTGTTTACATGATATGATGTCACTCCTGTCAGTCTTTTTAGTGTGTCTAGATATTTGTCTTTTGCATGTAATTTCTCTATACTATAAAAAAAATTTAATCATTCAGCAAATAATTTACTGAGTACCTACTCTATGTAAGGCAGAATTTTGTGTAAGCCACTGAAGCGACTGCCATAAATATAACAAATACAAATCCTGGACCTCCAGGACCCATTTTAGTTTGGTTGGAAGTGGGGATAGGATCAAATAGGATCAAAGTGAGTCGCCACTTGAACATGTCCCATGCTCATCTTGGGCATATTTTGGTTTATCAACAAAAATATATAGGCAGAAGATAGGGTACTGAGGTAGGAGGTGGGGCTTGACTCCAGAGGTGGGACTGGGACACCAGACCAAATTGAGGACTAGCTAAAACAGGGACAGGGTGGAGGCAGCTTTCCATAAGACGTGCCCAGCAGTGTACCATGGCAGTTTACCATTGCCATGGCAACACCTGGAAGTTCCATGTCAACCACCGGACAACCCAGAAGTTACCACCTCTTTTCTAGAAATCTCTACATAGTCCACCATTCAATTTTCATATAATTAAAATTGGGTATTAATATGACTGCAGAAATGCCTCAGAGCTGCTACTGTGGGCACACTATTTCTGGTGTAGCCCTGCTCCGCAAACAGCAGTACCTGTGCTGCTGCTGTACACTGCCACTTCAATAAAAGTTGCTAACACCATCAGCTGGCCTTTGAATTCTTTCCTGGGCAAAGCCAAAATCCCTTCCAAGGCTAAGCCCCAGTGATGAGGCTCAACTGCTCTGCACCATTACCACTACCCTAACTGTTATTTACAGTTGTGTACTGTATTTGAATATGTATCTCACTGTTTCAGGCAACACATCCTTTACATTCATTAGGGAGGCTGAGGTACTGAATTTGGGTAGCTGAGTTTCAGCTCCAGGCCTTATATGGGTTTGAGGTTTTTACTTATGTCTCAAGATTCACATCGTAATCTCATTACCAAGTCTTGTGTAATTTCACTTGGCCACGTGGCATCACTCACCATTTATCCTTTTGTATTTATATTTAATTTTTTATTTCCAACACCTGAAGATCTAATGTGTCTTGCCAAACATAAATTATAATCCCCAAATGGGGGCAGTTTTGCTGTTAATTTCACACATCTCTGAAAATGACTCAAAAATATTTTTTTAAAAGCCTTAAATTTGGAAAGAAAAGGAAGTTGATTTTAGTTGTATACTTTATTGCTGTAGTTACATAAACTTTTCAATAAGTACAAATAAACCAGGGAAAAGCAGTGACAGAATTCTTAAAATTATTGTTTTATTTAATTTTGTTAATAAGAAAAATCTCAGACTTCAAAGAGAAGCATGAAAACTCTTTATTACACAAAAGCATAAAACGTGTATTGTTTCTTTTTATCACTCTAATGTCTCAATACCAAAGCACCAAATAGTATCTATGAAATATCAGCATAGCAGTAACCATACTGGTAATGCAATTTCAGTTTTAATTGTTACCATTATAAAAATGAGACAAAATTAGAACTTTATAAAAACATTACCTAGCATTCTCTTATCAATTCAGCAAATGGCTTCATTTTATATCATATTAGTAAAATACAACCAAGTTCAACAAGCCAACCATTTCACTTTCTCACATTAAATTTTTGGTTTATTTTATCTTATTCCTATCTCATCTCAGTAGCTCACAGTCAAAGCCTAAAGGTCTGTAGCAAAGCTCAGCCTCAAAAATCAGAATTAGGTGAATGTTATGTTAAATAATATCCCATTAAAAAAGGCTCACATGGCCTTATTTTCTGGTCTTCTAATTTCAAAATATTATTTCTTTACAAAATCTGATACTTCTCTATCAAATATCACTAATTGTCAGATATCATGTACTATGAAATTTCTTCTCCCCAAATGTTTTTAAATACAATTCACTAACATCTTGATTGTTCCTTCTTGCTATCTTTTAAATTCATTCCTCTCTTTATAGGCTGAAAACATTCTCAGGCTTAATTACCGGAAGCCTCTATAAAGGCAGATGTCTGATCAAAATCTCAGACTTCTTATGTGACCCCAAATGTGGGTAAAGGAATAAAAGTTTCTTGGAAATAATAATAAAACATGCTGGTTTCTGTTCATCTCATTTTCTAAATGTCGCTAAGGAGGGCAGCTATTAACCTGTCTGAGATAAAATGTGAAGTGAGACATACTTATCAGAGAAAGAATCAGAGAGTGCATTAATCTAGTAACAGAAAATATCCACTGGAATATTTGGCAGAAATGTAATGAGTCATGCAAGCAAATTGAGGACAATATACACAATCATCACGTTGATATGGAGGAGCAATCAAACAAGATGTAATGATTTGCTTTCTTGCTACCAGAAGTACAGTGTGAGATGAGCTGAAAACAATGAAATAGTTTACTAAAATAGTATTATGCTCTGATCCCCACTCTACTTCCTGATTATAAAGTAAAAATAAATATAAGTAAATTAATAATTATAATTTAGAAGCTGACGGTGTCAAACTTTTGCAATATATTATGAGAAAGTCCAGAGAAGAGTCTTGATGTGTATCTACTGGTAAAATTAAATTAGAAGAATATGTGTATTAAAGCATTAACTTGAATGTGCATGTTTAAGAATCTCTTGGGAGATACTGACCAATTTTATCTGCTTCTGGTCTGGTCATGGTCAAGAGAAATAGTAAAGTAAAGTTCCTTGAACGTATATTTCTTCACTTAACCTGCTGATTACATTGTTGTATGGAAAGGAGCATGAACAAAACAGAGTGGGTGGATACATTCATAAGGAATACATTCATCTGCCTTCTGCAATTAAAAAAACTACTGACAGTAGGATTTGTTTGTATCATGAAGTGCACAACTAGCATGGTGACTCAAAGTTGTTTTCAGAAATTCAGTCTGTTTCTATCTTTTCACTTTCACACTTTAAGGCTGAGTTTTTTTACCACGGGCTTATGATTTTGTGGTAATATATTTCCTTTTTCTAACCAGGCAGGAAGAAGCAAGAAGGAAGAAAATGCCATCGTTGTCATCTTGTGTCTGGAATTGGTGGGTTCTTGGTCTCACTGACTTCAAGAATGAAGCCGTGGACCCTCGCGGTGAGTGTTACAGTTCTTAAAGGCGGTGTCTCCAGAGTTTGTTCCTTCTGATGTTTGGATGTGTTTGGAGTTTCTTCCTTCTGGTGGGGTTCACGGTCTCGCTGGCTCAGGAGTGAAGCTTGGACCTTCGTGGTGAGTGTTACAGCTCTTAAGGCAGCGCGTCTGGAGTTGTTCATTCCTCCTGGTGGGTTCGTGGTCTCGCTGGCTTTAGGAGTGAAGCTGCAGACCTTTGCGGTGAGTGTTACAGCTCATAAAGGCAGTGTGGACCCAAAGAGTGAGCAGCAGCAAGATTTATGGCAAAGAGTGAAAGAACAAAGCTTCCACAGTGTGGAAGGGGACCCCAGCGGGTTGTCACTGCTGGCTCGGGCAGCCTGCTTTTATTCTCTTATCTGGCCCCACCCACATCCTCTGATTGGTTCATTTTACAGAGAGCCGAGTGGTCTGTTTTGACAGGTTGCTGATTGGTGCGTTTACAATCCCTGAGCTAGACACAAAGGTTCTCCACATCCCCACTAGATTAGCTAGATACAGAGTGTCGACACAAAGGTTCTCCAAGTCCCCACCAGTGTAGCTAGATCCAGAGTGTCGATTGGTGCATTCACAAACCCAGAGCTAGACACAGGGTGCTGATTGGTGTGTTTACAAACCATGAGCTAGATATACAGTGCCGATTGGTGTATTTACAATCCCTTAGCTAGACACAAAGGTTCTCCAAGTCCCCACCAGAGTCAGGAGCCCAGCTGGCTTCACCCAGTTGATCCCGTACCTGGGCCACAGGTAGAGCTGCCTGCCAGTCCCGCGCTGTGCGCCCGCACTCCTCAGCCCTTGGGTAGTCGATGGGACCAGGTGCCGTGGAGCAGGGGGCGGTGCTTGTCGGGGAGACTGAGGCCATGCAGGAACCCACGGTGGGGGGGAGGAGACTCAGGCATGGCAGGCTGCAGGTCCTAAGCCCTGCCCCGTGGGGAGGCAGCTAAGGCCCAGTGAGAAATTCAGTGCAGCGCAAGTAGGCTGGCACTGCTGGGGGACCCAGCACACCCTCTGCAGCCACTGGCCCAGGTGCTAAGCCCCTCATTGCCTGGGGCTGGCAGGGCCGGCCGGCCACTCCGAGTGCGGGGCAGCCAAGCCCACGCCCAGCTGGCAATCCAGCTGGCCCACAAGCGCCACATGCAGCCCCGGTTCCCGCTCACGCCTCTCCCTCCACACCTCCCTGCAAGCTGAGGGAGCCAGCTCCGACCTTGGCCAGCCCAGAAAGGGGCTCCCACAGTGCAGCGGTGGGCTGAAGGGCTCCTCAAGTGCCACCAAAGTGGGAGCCCAGGCAGAGGAGGTGCTGAGAGTGAGCAAGGGCTGCAAGGGCTGCCAGCACGCTGTCACCTCTCAATCTGTAATGGAAATGTAAGCTGAAATGACCATCTGATTATGTCCCATTGGTACTAATAGTGTTTCATGATCTCATATATTTTACATAGCACATTGCTACCTGTGATGGTTAATAATGTCAACTTGCTTGGATTGAAGGATGCAAAGTATTAATCCTAGGTGTGTCTGTGAGGGTGCTGCCAAAAGAAGTTAACATTTAAGTCAGTGGGCTGGGAAAGAAAGACCCACCCTTAGTCGGGGTGGGCACAATCGAATCAGTTGCCAACACGGCCAGAATAAAAAGCAGGCAGAAGAACGTGAAAAGACTAAACTGGCTCAGCCTGCAAGCCTATATCTTTCTCCTGTGCTGGATGCTTCCTGCCCTCGAACATCAGACTCCAAGATCTTCAGCTTTGGGACTCATACTGGCTTCCTTGATTCTGAGTTTGCAGATGGCCTATTGTGGGGCCTTGTGATTGTGTGAGTTAATACTTCTTAATCAACTCATATATATATATATCCTCACATATATAGAATATATATATATCCTCACATATATAGAATATATATATATATCCTCACATATATAGAATATATATATATCCTCACATATATAGAATATATATATATATCCTCACATATATAGGATATATATATCCTCACATATATAGGATATATATATATCCTCACATATATAGGATATATATATCCTCACATATATAGGATATATATATATATCCTCACATATATATAGGATACATATATATGATGTATATATCCTATTAATTCTATCCCTCTAGAGAACCTTGACTAATACAAATTTTGATACCAGGAGTAGTTCTAGAGGAACAGTATATTAAGAATGGAGTTCTTGTGTTGGTTTTGGGAGTTCTGGAGCTGGCTGCTTAATATGATTAGACCCCAAAATGTTCAGAACTCTACTTCTAATAGTATGGAGAACACTAATAGTCCTTGGCATAAACTGTTTAGAGAGTTATGCAAAATAATGCATTTGACACTCCTGATTCACTGCTCCTGAGAGGCAAGGAGTTTAGTGACTCTATACATAATACTTTTGACTATATGTAAAAAATGAAGAAACATAATGAAGTTGGTTGGTTGTGCCTAAGTTCACTGGACAAAGTGATGAAAGGAAATGATAAACTCAGGGATTCTAATTCCCAGCTTCAGAAACAGATACTGAGCCTCAAATCTGCTAAGTTTGCCCTGAATGAGGGTCATACCTCCTGTAAAGAAAGAGCTGAAATTGTGGAAAAACAAACACAAGCTCTTATCGCGTGAGTGGCTGACCTGCAATGAAAGGTGCATGCACAGCCTCCCCAAGTGTCTACTGTTAAAGTGAGGGCATTGTCTGGAAAAAAAAAATGGGACCCTACAACTTGGAATGGGGAGGTGTGAGAGGACCCTGGTGAAGCTGGGGAAGCTGAGCTTGTAAACACTGAGGAACCTTTTTTTTTCCCAGAAGAAACAGCTTCCTCATCCCCAGTATTGGCAACATCCCCTCCCTGACCCATGCTGCAATCAGCCTTTCCACCTTTGTCTGAGGAGATGAACTCTGTGCTGCCTGAGGCAACAGTGATGGCCTCCCGTGAGGCAGTTGCCAGGCAAGATAATATTGAATTTCCTCAGGAGCCACCCCGAATACCCCTGTTTGCTTCTAGACCTACAACTAGACTAAAGTCCTGGTGGGCCCCTGAAGGTGAGGTTCAGAGTGTGACCCATGAGGAGGTGTGCTACACTCAGAAAAAAAGTGCTTTAGTTTTCTAATTTATATAAGCAAAAATCTGAATAACAAGTATGGGAATGGATATTAAGGGTGTGGGATAATGGTGAAGGGAATATAGAGTTGAATCAGGCTGAATTTATTAATTTGGGCCTACTAAGTAGGGATTCTGCATTTAATGTTGCAAGTTGGGGAGTTAAAAAAGAGTCTAATAGTTTATTTGCTTGGTTAGCTGAAATATGGATTAAAAGATGGCTCACTGTGACTGAGATGGAAAAGCCTGATCTCCCTTGGTTTAATGTAGAGGAAGAGAGCCAAAGGGAGCTTAGGGAGATTGGGATGGTGGAGTGGATTAGTCACTTTAGAGCTACTCATACCAGCTGGGAGGGTCCAGAAGATACACCCTTGACCAACACTTTGTGAAATAGATTTGAGAGAGCAGCAGCTGCATCTTTGAAGAGCCCAGAAATTGCTGTTCTCTGTATGTCAGCTCTAACAGTGGGAACCACAGTCACTCAACCACAAAATATAAATTCCATGTGAATAATTGGATCCTGAGTTGGCAGGGGCCAAGTTGTGGCACTCAACCACCAATGGCAAGGTGGGCATAGCTACTGTGAAGGGCAGCAGAGGCAAAACAGCAATCAGAACAGTCTGATTGGTGTAGCATTCTGGCATTGGCTAATTATTCACAGTGTTTCTAGAAGAAAAATTGATGGGAAGTCTACTAAATTCCAAGCTAATTTATATAAGCAAAAAACTTCCATGTCTAGTGGACAGAAGACTAATTTGAATTATAAAAACATAGAATCACTGCCCCTCAACCAATTTCCAGACTTGAGCCAGTTTACAGATCCTGAACCACTTGAATGAAGGGAAGGTCGTGTCCCCTTGAGGAAGGACCCCACTACACTACCAACAATTTATTCTGTTAATCTTTTTCCCATCCTTCCCCAAGATGACCTCCAGCCTTTTACCAAGGTAACTGTGCATTGGGGAAAGGGAAATATCAGACATTTTGTGGACTATTGGACACCAACTCTGAGCTGATGTTGATTCCAGGGTACCCAAAACATTATTGTGGTCCTCCAGTTAAAGTAAAGGCTTATGAAGGTCAGGTAATTAATGCAGTTTTAGCTCAGGTCTGACTTACAGTAGGTCCAGTGGATCCCTGGACTCATCCTGGGGCCATTTTCCCAGTGCAAGAATGCATAATTGGCATAGATATATTTAGCAGTTGGCAGAACCCCCACATTGACTCCCTGACTGGTTGGCTGAGAGTTATTATGGTGGAAAAGGCCAAATTAAAGCCATTAGAGCTGCCTCTACCTAGAAAAATAGTAAATCAAAAACAGTATCATATCCCTTGGAGACATTGCAGAGATCAGTGCTACCATTAAGAACTCGAAAGACACAGAGGTTGTGATTCCCACCACATCGCCATTCAACTTTCCTATTTGGCCTGTGAAGACAGACAGATCTTGGAGAACAACAGTGGATTATTGTAAACTTAACCAAGTGGTGACTCCAATTGCAGCTGCTGTACCCCATGTGGCTTCATTGCTTGAGCAAATTAACACATCTCCTGGTACTTGGTATGCAGCCATTGACTTGGCAAATGCCTTTTCTCCATTCCTGTCCATAAGGCCCACCAGAAGCAATTTGCCTTCAGCTGGCAAGGCCAGCAATATACCTTTACTGTCCTACCTCACGGGTATATCAACTCTCCAGCTTTGTGTCATAATCTTATTTGGAGATATCTTGATCGCTTTCACTTCCACAACATATCACACTGCTCCATTACATTGATGACATTATACTGGTTGGATCCAGTGAGCAAAAAATAGCAAACACACTGGACTTATTGGTGAGACATTTGCATGCCAGATAATGAGAATTAAATCCAGGGACCTTCTACCTCAGTAAAAATTTTATGGGTCCAGTGGTGTGGGGCCTGTCGAGATATTACTTGTAAGGTGAAGAGTAAGTTGCTGCATTTGGCCTCTCGTACAACCAAGAAAAAGGCACAATGCCTAGTGGGCCTATCTGGATTTTGAGGGCAACAAAATCGTCATTTGGGTGTGTTACTCCAACCCATTTATCAAGTGATCCAGAAGGCTTCTAGTTTTGAGTGGGGTCCAGAACAGAAGAAGGCTCTACAACAGGTCCAGGCTGCTGTGCAAGCTACTCTGCCACTTGATCCGTATGACCCAGCAGATTCAATGGTGCCTGAGGTGTCAGTGGCAGATAGGAATGCTGTTTGGAGCCCCTGGCAGGCCCCTATAGGTGAATCACAGGGGAGGCCACTAGGATTTTGGAGCAAGGCGCTGCTATCTTCTTCAGAAAACTACTCTTTTTTTTTTTTTTTTTTTTTTTGAGATGGAGTCTCGCTCTGTCGCCCAGGCTAGGGTGCGGTGGCTCAATCTGGGCTCACTGCAACCTCTGACTACCGGGTTCACGCCATTCTCCTGCCTCAGCCTCCTGAGTAGCTGGGACTACAGGCACACACCACCACACCCGGCTAATTTTTTATATTTTTAGTAGAGACAGGGTTTCACTGGTTAGCCAGGATGGTCTCCATCTCCTGACTTTGTGATCCACCTGCCTCGGCCTCCCAAACAGCTGGGATTACAGGTGTGAGCCACTGTGCCTGGCCTAGATAACTACTCTCTTTTTGAGAGACAGTTCTTTAGCTTTGGGACTTGGACTGGCTTCCTTGCTCCTCAGCTTGCAGATGGCCTGTTGTTGGACCTTGTGATTTTCTGAGTTAATACTCCTTAATAAACTCCATATATATATATATGTTCCACCATATATGTATATATGTTCCACCATATATATATATGTTCTACCATATATATATGTTCCACCATATATATATATGTTCTACCATATATATATGTTCCACCATATACATATATATATCCCTCGATATATATGTGTGTGTGTATATATATATATATCTGTCCCTCTAGAGAGCCCTGACTAATACACCACCCTAAACTAATTTGAGAATATTTTGGCAAGAAAGGATACCAGAGAGTAATAAAATATTTGTATCAGAGTATCAGGAAACAGAATTCACCCTCAAATAGAATAATTGAGGAGAATCTTTATAATATTTGAAAAATATTAAGGAAAATACAAGAGAAATAATAAAGAACCTCAACATCAGAAATAGCAGGTAGTTGCCATTACCATGCCCAGATTTGAGAAAAAACAGAGGGAATAGTTATGGTTGCCCAGAGACACAGAGCTACAATTGTAGGAAGGGTCTCCTGCAAAGGTGCTGTGTCTGTCTACAAGCTAGCAGAAAGGGAGAATAAATTCCCCCACATCACTACTGATATGATTTGGATGTTTTCCCCTTCAAATCTCATGTTTAAATGTGACTCCCGGTGTTGAAGGTGGGGCCTGGTGGGAAGTGATTGGGTCATGGGGGCAGATCCCTGATGAATGGCTTGTCATCATCCCTTTGATAATAAGTGCGTTCTCAGTTAGTTCCTGCAAGATCTGGCTGTTTAAGAAAATCTGAGACATTTCCACTTTGTCTCTTGCTCCTACTATCACCACGTGACATGCTGGTTACCCCTACCTTCTGCCATGATTGTAAGCTTCCTGAGGCCCTCACCAAAAGGGGATGCTTGCACTATGCTTTGTGTATAGCCTGCAGAACTGTGAGCCAATTAAACATCTTTTATATATAAATTACCCAGTCTCACGTATTTATTTATAGCAACGCAAGAATGGACTAAGATAACTATCCTCCTACCTCTAATCTGTTGCTGGTGTCTGCCACTGGTCAAATCCAGTCAGAAAACAGAAGGTAAGGGTCTTATTAAAATAGTCTATAAATTGCCAAAGAGCAAGAGTCAGAAGGGAGGAGGTGAACTTGGAGGGGCAAATGGAAAATTACCAGTGCAGCATCCAAATGCCATGTTAAGTCTGGGGAGAAATGATGACCAAAGAAAGGTTTAGGGAGATTATATGCCTTCAGTTGAACCCTAAAGAAAGATTATGCATTTGGTGCAAATAAATAGTTCAGTTGGGATGTCTAGTTAAGATAATCTTGGCTAAATGCACTGAAATCAATGTTTACTTCTGTTTAACACTTGTCAGACATAAATTTAATTTTTTTTTTTTTGAGATGGAGTCTCGCTCTGTCGCCCAGGCTGGAGTACAGTGGCATGATCTCGGCTCACTGCAAGCTCTGCCTCCCGGGTTCACGCCATTCTCCTGCCTCAGCCTCCCAAGTAGCTGGGACTACAGGCACCTGCCACCATGCCTGGCTAATTTTTTGTATTTTTAGTAGAGAATGGGTTTCACCGTGTTAGCCAGGATAGTCTCAATCTTCTGACCTTGTGATCTGCCCGCCTCAGCCTCCCAAAGTGCTGGGATTACAGGCGTGAGCCACCGTGCCGCCTAAATCATTATTTGTTAGCCAGGTGTGGTGGTACATGCTTATTGTCCCAGCTACTCAGGGTGTTGAGGAGGGAGGATTGCTTGAGCCCAGAAGTTCGAGGTTGTGATGAGCTATGATAATGCCATGGTACTCCAGCCTGGATGGCAGAATGACAGAGTGAAACCCTGTCTGGAAAAAAAAAAGGAAACAAAGAAATCATTGTTTGGACACTGATTTTTCCACCAAATTTGACTTCATATTTTAAGAAAGAAGAGATTGTGATTGAGTTGTTCACTGTTTTTGGTAGGCAAAATTCTAAGATATCTTCTAAGATCCCTACCTAATGGTAAACAGACACCTTTTGCCATTATTCAATTGAACAACAATCTAGGTGCAGCTCTGATGGGGTTTTGTGGATGCATGTAAGGTCCCAAAACAGTTGACCTTCAGATAGGAAGATTATCTTTTGTGAACTTCACTTAATCAAGAGAGCTCTTAAAAGACTGTGAGCACTCCCTAGTGAGAGATCAAAATCGGGGAGTTTCTATGCACGAGATGAATTTGATGGTGAGAGAGATTTTCCATTGCTGGCTTTGAAGGTAGAGGTAAGTCATGTGGGTGGCAATATTCCTTACCAGGGAATGGTCCCCGGCTGACAGCCAGTAAGAAAATGATCCCCGGCTGACAGCCAGTAAGAAAACAGGGACTTCATTTCTACAGCTCAAAGAAAACTGAATTCTAATAGCAACTTGAATAGGTTTGCAAGAGAACTCCAAGCTGTAGATGAAAAACCCCAGTTATGGCAAACATTTTGCTTACTCACAGCCTCCTGAGAGCATCAGCAGAGAATCCAGTTATACTCTGCCTAGACTTGTGACCTGCAGAACGGAACTATGAAATTGTGTTGCTTCAAGCCACTAAGTTCATTTCACAGTAATGATAAACTCATACACTGCTTCATGCAAAAGCACAGTGTCTCCTAAAGGAAGGAAAAACAATACTGAATGACTAATCTTTACGCACAAGACAAGCAAATCATAATAGGAACCTTACAGATAATAAAAATCAAATTTCAGAAAAGTTTATGTGTAGAAGATCAGACAGGTAAAAATACTTGAAAAGCTTTGGCCAGATGTATGTAGACTATTTCTGCATTTCTCATCTCTGTATGTACAGTGCAAATTTCTGCTTATTCATGCTTCTTCTAAAAACAATTCTCAAATACATAGTATGACATATTCTGTCTTTCCAAATATAGTGATTCTTAACCAGAAAAGTGATAGTAATCTTGGAAAACAGATTTTTTATTTAACTTTTAAATTGTTAGAAAACCAATAACCCACTAAACTTATGGAAATTATAATTGTATTTCAAACACTTTTATAAACTTATCCCTCATTTACATAAGACATATTGAAGAGAATACAAATATGGCAAATTTAAAGTTATATTATAAATTTGAATTTTTTTTACATTAACATATTTCAGGAAAATAACCAAAGATATTATTTTAGATGCTTTCTGGTTTACAAAATGGAGAGATCTCGTTTTACAGGGATATATTTAACTTGGACAATTCTAAAAATAATCTGATGTTTATTGTTATTCTGTATGCTGGCACAATAGTGTTGAGTGCGTCCCAACTCATAAACAAAAGTTAAAAAATAGTAAAGAAAAATTCACACAAATAGCAACTTTCTATTCAGCAAATTAATAGCTAAGAGAGTGGCATCTATATTTTTTAAATTTAATTTTATATTTCTGAAACAACATTAACTTGCACATTATTTTCTAGATCTAAATATAACTTTCAGTTAATTTAATTTTTAAACTATTGTAAGACAATCTTAAGGGGATCTAAATTTTTAATTTAACTGAAATTGTTTGAAAAATATATAATATTTGATGTTATAAAATGCATAATAATGTTATGATAGCAAACAAAATTCAAAACAAAATTAATTCAAACAAATGAAATTATATTTATTGAGATTAATGGTTTTCTTCTTTTATTAAAGTTGTATTGCAATAATGCCATCAGAATTTTACAGTCATTGTAAACAATGGCAGAACTTAAACTCTTATTAAAATTATGTTTCCAATTTCTAAAGCTTAATTGAAAAATTCTCACTCAACTAATTTCTAAAAGCAGTGTGCTTATGAGACTTCCTCCTAAAACCAAGTTTTTGTTAAAAGAAATATTTGAGTTAATAATATATGAAGTTTATTTGCAAATTTTAACGATGCAGGAAAAATATTTTTAAATATATATCTTCTACAAACTAAAAACACTAAAAATGTCACCAATTATGACATGTAAAAAATTAATCAGGACTTTAATTGGATTTGTTTTAAACTTGAGGCTAGATGTGGTGGCTCACGCCTGTAATCCCAGCACTTTGGGAGGCAGAGGCAGGGGGATCACCTGAGGTTGGGAGTTCGAGCCAGCCTGACCAACAGGGACAAACCCCATCTCTACTAAAAATATAAAAAATTAGCCAGGTGTGGTGGTGCATGCCTGTAATCCCAGCTACTTGGGAGGCTGAGGCAGGAGAATTGCTTGAACCTTGGAGACAGAGGTAGCAGTGAGCTGAGATCACGCCATTGCAATCCAGCCTGGGCAACAAGAGCAAAACTCCACTGTCTCAAAAAAAAAAAAAAAAAAAAAAAAAATCAAAACTTGAAAATTTGGAGGAAAAACACTGCCAGATACTAGATTTTATATTAGCATTACTAGTTAAAGATAATGAGTTAACAGATTTTAAAGATCTTTATTGCCAACAAATAATTGCT
Source organism: Homo sapiens (assembly GCF_000001405.40). Lineage (NCBI taxonomy): Eukaryota > Metazoa > Chordata > Mammalia > Primates > Hominidae > Homo > Homo sapiens. The sequence continues at coordinate 162,630,970 of NC_000003.12, read as the reverse complement.
TAACCGACTTTGATTGGGAGTATATTACATTGTATTGTACCTAACTGTATTGTTTTCCCAAATATCTACTACTAATTTTGTAAACTATACCTAAGTTTTATTTCCCAGTAAGTTCATTTCTCACTTTAAATAATTTTTCTTTCCTTTTTTTTTTTTTAAAAAAAGGAATTAAACAAAAGAAAATTACCTTTTACATTAGAAAAATCAGTTTACCAAACCAAAATCTACACATACTTTTTTATGGTTTGACTGAGTTTTGTTGTCTCTTTTTGGTAGGCTCTCATTGCTTGCATGTATTATAATTTGGTCTGTCATAACTTTTCTCTTAGAATATAAATAAAAATATAAAAATGATTTACTTAATTTCAAATATAAGTATAATCTCTTTTTTTTAAAAAAAAAAAAAAAAAGAAGGACACAAAATAGGGATGGTGCTATGGCTCACTCCTGTAATCCCAGCACTTTGGGAGGCCGAGGCAGGAGTATTGCCTGAGCTCAGGAGTTCGAGACCAGCCTGGGCAACACGGTGAAACTCCATCTCCACTAAAATACAAAAAATTAGCCGGGCCTGGTGGCAGGTGCCTGTAATTCCAGTTACTGGGGAGGCTGAGGCAGGAGAATTGCTTGAACCTGGGAGGCAGAGGTTGCAGGGAGCCAAGATCGCGCCACCACTGCACTCCAGCCCAGGCAACAGAGCAAGACTCTGTCTCAAAAAAACAGAAAAACAACAAAAAAACAAAAAGGACACAAAATAAATATTACCCAACCTAGATTTACATAAACAATAGATATTTATGCCATCTATGCAGACTAATGCTAAAACTCTAATTCAGTCAAGAAATAATAGTTGTCTATGTTGGTACAAATTTTGTAGATTTACAAATACACCTAAATATTTAAAATAAGCATTTTTCAGACTCCATGTACACTGATCTGACATTCCGATATCCAACTGAGTTCCATTTAGAAATCTGTTCCCTATTTATATTAATTTAATCTCTATGATAACTGACATTTTGTTCTTCTTTTCATTAAGGTTACCTAACTATTTCATCTCCCCTTCTACTAGCCTATGAATTCGCTGAGAGCTGAGACTTGGCTATTCATTATTTATCAAGCAAAATACCTATATTGGTTTCCACACCATTAAATACTCAAGAGGATTTTTATTTTACTTGTGTCCTTCTGCAAAGTAGTTAAAGAAAGCTACAAATGTTTTGAAAAGGAATTAAGTAATGTGTACATATTATTTATGCAGATAGATAAATGTAGAAAAATAAAGACAAAATTTTGTTTCTTATTAGTGAGGATAAGTAGTATTGAATGGTATAGAAGCTAAAACTTAAAATCTCAGTGCCTTGGTATTTAAAAAATGTAATTATTTTCTCCCCATGCAACTACTTACAAAGGTATTTCTGGGTGTGTGGCTCATCTGAATGACAAGAATTTAAGATGTAATTCTGGAGCCAATCTTCTTAATTTTGGCAGCTCTCCTTTCATCAAGGTCCTCAGAGTTCTCTTGATTTAAATAGTGGATTGAAATTAATTTTTAAAAAAGACTGGAGAACATACTTCCACTTTTTAGTACCTCAACCTAGAAATGACACTTCCACTCACATTACATTGGTGAGAACTAGTCACATTGTTATTTAGACTCAAGGAGACTAAGAAATATAGTCTGGTTGTCACATTAAGAAGTCAGCATGGCAAACTGTACCACAAATCATTATAAGTTTATTCAGAATATTTTATATTTCATACTATAGAAAATGTAGAATCTATTTGTATGACCCTTTCTTAATTCACTTTTTAAGGCAATGCACCTTAACCCAGGAATGAGGGGACGCAGAATTTTGGTTAGAGAATCTTTCCACTCAATATCATATGCTAGAATCTATTGCTATTCCAAGTTTGATTTATAGGGTGTGCATAGAGTCAATCAGATTTTACTAGAATTTAACTCAAACAATTAATTCATCACACTGTAGTCCTGGTTACATTTTTCAAATCAAAATTTCTCAATGAAGGAAGCACCACATTGATTTACCTTCTGATTCAAGCTACTTATATCATGGTAGATCTTCTTTTTGTTTAATAGCCATAGAATGTTTTACAGTTATATAATTTTTTGTGTGGTCCCCTGTCATTGTTATGTAATTTTTTCAGGTGTGAAAACCACACTCCTGACATTTTAGCCTTTGTTGCTAACTTTTAGCGTTTCCTACATCTATTTTGATTATGTCAGCTTATTCTATGCCATGAATCATTTTGAAACTCGGAACTCATATGTAATACATGGCATCATTTTTCAGAATTGTGCCACAAGGATAGTAAAACTTCTTTTTTTCTTATTTACTCTTAATATCCGTATTCAGAATTGTCAGTAACTGAAAGTAGTTTGATGTTATCCTAATGGTGAGCATTAGCCTTCCTTTCTGTTTGTTTGTTTCTTTTTGTTTTTGAGACGGAGTCTCACTTTGTCGCCAGGCTGCAGCGCAATGACGCGATCTCAGCTCACTGCAACCTCCCACTCCCTGGTTCAGGGGATTCTCCTGCCTCAGGCTCCTGAGTAGCTGGGATTACAGGCACGCGCCACCATGCCTAGCTAATTATTGTTTTGTTGTTGTTGTTGTTTTGTTGTTGTTGTTTTTTTTTTTTTTTTAGTAGATACGGGGTTTCACCTTGTTGGCCAGGATGGTCTGGAACTCCTGACCTCGTGATCCACCCACCTCGGCCTCCCAAAGTGCTGGGATTACACGTGTGAGCCACTGCGCCTGGCCACATTAGCATTCCTTTCTATCTCCACACAAAAACAAACCTAGAGCATCATTAAGCTACCACTCATTGTTAAAGGCAACTAAGAAATAAATATTTGCATTTGTATATTTCATTTTTCTTTCTTTGGCCTCCTTTTGATTACTGATTTTATTGTATTTTTATTCTGCTAAGTCGATATTAATATAATTATTATTATTAGTGACTATCCTAAATATCATGTACATACTTCATGTTTTCAGCCTAAAGTACCAAATAAATTTGGTAATGTAAAGTTTTTGATTGTCACTTTGCTGAGATTGCATAAACTTTAAAATTTTTTGTTTGTTTGTTTGTTTTCTTTTTTTGAGGTGGAGTCTCTCTCTGTTGCCAAGCTAAGCACAATCTGGGCTCACTGCAACCTCCACCTCCTGGGTTCAAGTGATTCTCCTGTCTCAGCCTCCTGAGTAGCTAGGACTACAGGTTCGGGCCACCACGCCCAGCTAATTTTTGTATTTTTAGTAGAGACGGGGTTTCACCACGTTGGCCAGGATTGTCTCCATCTCTTGACATCATGACCAGCCCCCCTCCGCCTCCCAAAGCCCTCGAATTACAAGCATGAGCTATTACACCCAGCCAAAACTTTTAAATCAATTTTCTCCCTTCCATCGTTAGGGTTGTTTATGACATGCATTTTAGTTTAATATATATGATACTCCAGATATCATTACAGTTGTTTCTGGTCATAGTTCATATTAATATATTAGGTGGAATTTTATATAATTACCAATATTCTACTATTTTTTCCTATATATATATATCAATTTAATATGGTTCAACACAAGATATCTTACTTAATTCTCAGTGTTTTTTTTTTCTTTTCTTGTGCATTTCAAGGTTTATGTTTGATATTATTGCGTTTCTTCCTGAAGCACTCGCTTTATTTATTTTAATCAAGGTTTCTGGCAACAAATTTCTCTTTATTTTATCTTTACATTTAAATATTTTTCCCTGGATATTGTAGGGGTGGAAAAACCTCATGTCCATTCTCCTAGGATCCTAGCTGTGTCCAATAATTAAATTAACATAGCATAGATTAATAGGAGAAAAGTATAATATGTTTGACATGGCACAGGGACCCTTATAAAGAAATAAAGGCCCTAAAGAAGCAGTTAGGGTGAGTTACTAACATAGCGGATTGGACAAAATATAGTAAAATGTGAAACTGTGATTTAATTATGTGTGGAGGCTTACTTAAAAGATAACAGTCATTCTAACAAGATCTGTACCGTATTCTTTGGATCTCAACTGCTTACTCTTGAGGATAAGAATGTTGCCTTTTGCTGGAGTACAGGTAGACAATCTTTCTAACAGGAATTTCATCTCCTGCTCTTAAGAAACAGCATGAAGCTCAAAATGATCTTTTCGCATCTACTCTTTTTAAAGTGTCTTTAATTTAAACAGTAAATATAGCAGAACAGCATATTTTAACTCTGTCACAGGATTGAATTAAATATGAAGATTAGCTTGAGGGAGAATTCACATTTATATAATACTGAATCTTATAAATCATAGACTCCTCACTTGGGTGCTTTTATGACACCCCACAGTGAAATTTTACCTAGTCAAATTAAGAATGAAGCAACTACCTCTTAAGTGAACATATCCTTTCTTACCTATTATTTTTCTTCTCTCACATGTAAAGCACTCAGCAAATATTTGCTTAATGTAATTTATTTGGTAATTAGTGATGAGTATGCCTGCATCACCTCTACCACTGGGAACAGTAGTACCTGAAAAGCTAGAACAAACATCCATCTATCTCCACAGGAGGTAGTCAATAAAGAGACAAATTAGTCTCACTTCTGTTTTTCTTCATATACTGTACTCTCAAATTGACTATGTTTCATTTAAATTTCATTATTTTGTAATTACCCTCTATGAAAGACAGCTCAAATAAGCATTCTCTGAGCATAATATGTATTTGTTGACACATAAAACATAATTAATGTCAAAGGAATATAATTGACCTCATGCAGCTGGCTAAACATTTTCTATTTTAATGCTTAAATATAGTGTGAGAAAAATGAAACTTAGAAAGTCTATCTAAACTGAAATAATTTAATAAAGGATAGCAAAAGAAAATTGAAACTATTATCTAGTAGTGCAAATAGATTCCATGATGGTAGAAGGTTCTACGGATTGGTTGAAGAGTTTTCTAATCACAGTAGAGACAGGGAAGATAACTGCTTTCAAATTCTCTATGTAAGAGGCCTCCACATAGGATAATTAATATGAAAAATACAAAGAAAGCCATACATGAAAGTGAGAGAAAGAGGATACATCAGAGAAACACTTTTCACAACCTCTGCAGGAAAAAAGAAAGTCAGAAATAAGTGGAACATGGTAAAAAGAATAGTCAACTGTGGGAGTTAGAGGACACTGATAATGAAAACTTGCTATGAATTGGCAAATAAGAAAAAAAAATACATTGAAACAGTAAATAACATCTATTGCCTGATGGTCTTTCTTGCTTACGGAGGAATGCTGAGGCCAAGTTCACTGAAGCAAAGTTAAAGGGGAGGGGGACAGAAAAGATCCTCATTTTTGTGATTTTTACCTCTCTGAATAAAAATAATGGCTCTATTTCTTGAATATTTATAAGGGAAGAAATAATAGTAGTGTTTGATACCAGCCACCTAGTCTATTTTATAAAGAGAAATTTAATTAAATAATCTTTTTGAAAGCCAGACTTCTACTTTTTTTTTAAAAAAAGTGAATTATTGGTTTCTCTTTACAACTAGCACTTCATTCCTAATTCCTAATATAATTCTTACTCTAGGGCAACCTTGAAAGAACTCTTTTACTCAGTCAAGGATGAATTATATTTTATAAAATTGTATAGAAAGTATGAAGAATGACAAGGTCAGCAGGAGTAATATTTTGTAACATAGCATCAATTATATTCACCAGATACCAGAATTGAAAACATTTATATCTGTTTAATGAGCATTATAAAAAATAAAAGTATTCCAATTTCAGTCATTTTTCATTTGCATATTTTTTTGTCAGTTAATGAATAGTGTAAATTTAGTGTGTATTCCTAATTTTGAATTCATCTTACAGAAAAACATGTTTTATAAACATATTAATGAAGTACATAAATTTTAAATAACATTTCTGATATTTTATTGATGAGTGGAATGTAGAAGTGCTCACTTAAATGTGCAAATTTAGGGGAAAAGCAAATAAACTGGAGAAAACATTATATTTTTCATCAAAATCTGGCCATAAAAATATTATTTCCATAACTACTAAATTTTATCTTCAGAAATAGAACTATTGTAACCACAAAAAATAAACTTTTTCTTAAATCATTTCTCTCAAGGGTAAACAACTCTATAAAAAGTAACTCCTTGCTTTTCAGTAACATCCTTGGAGGGGCAGGCTGAACCAGAAAGAACAGACATATCCTGGTAATTTAATGCCTCATTGATCTCCATTTCAATCCCCCATCTCCCACCTTTGGTTAAGCAATGAAAAATATAGTTTTAGCAAAGTATATACAGTTCAAGAGAAAATACCAAACTCACTGCAATTACATTCATCGCTAGGCAGAAAGAAAAGGCATAGGGGGTTTCTTAGTTGGCACCACTTCTACATTTGCTCAGAAACTCATTACTTAATCCTCCTTACTATTCTCAAGTATTTTGTGTTGTGTATTTATTATAGTTAATTTTATGTGTCAATTTAAAGGTTCTTTTTGGGTGAAATAAACATTTAAATCAGTGAACTTTGAGCAAAAAAATTGCCCTCTATAAAGTGAGTGGGCCTCATCTAATTAGTCGAAGATCTAAATAGAGAGAGAAAAAAAAAAAAAAAAAAAACCCAGGCTCCCTAAACAAGGGGAAATTCTCCAGTTGACTGCCTTTGAACTTTATCTGTATCATTGGCTGTCCTGGATCTCTGGGTTGCTGGCCCGCAGAGCAGATTTTGTACTCACTGGCTTCTATAATCTTGTGAGGCAATTCCTTTATACATGCACATCTTTTTGGTTTTGTCTCTCTGGAAAACCCAGTACCGTACTCAGTTTGATTATTTCAAATATTAAATCCATCCAAAATTTAGTTTTGTTTTTTGCTATATTGAATTCACAGATGAATAGTTGGTTAAACCGGCAATCTGATAGAGGCAGAGCAAGATGTCAGAAAAGAAAGCTCCACCGATCACCTCCACTGCAAGGAAACCAAGTTAAGAACTACTACACAGAAAACAAAACAAAACAACACAAAACCTTCATGAGCACCAAAAATCAGGGGAGCACTACTCCCTGAGTACATGAGCAGTACTCAGTTTTAACTTTATATCACTGAAAGAGGGACTGAAGAGAAGAAAACAACCTTGAATCACAGACACCACCACTTCCCCAACCCTGGAAGTGACAGTATGCTGAAGAGAGCTTCTCTGGGCACTGGGGGAGGGAGATCACAGCAATTGCAAGGCATTGAACTCAGTGCTGTCCTGTTAGAGCAGAAAGGAAAACCAGACCAAACTCAGCTGATGCCCACCCACACAGAGAGCCTTTAAACCAGCCCTAGCCAGAGGGAAATCACCAATTCCAATGGACTGAATTGAGTGCCAGCAAACCTCAGCACTGAGGGCTGCAGCATTCTGTGTCTCCAAGTAAACTCAATAGGCAGTCTACAACATAAGAACTGCAAATCTTAGGAGGGTCTTCGTGCTGAACTAGGCCCAAAGACAGTGGACTAAGGGGGCACATGGTATACTGAAACCCCAGCTAGGGCAGCCAAGGGAGTAATGGCATCACCTCTCCTCTAACCTCAGGCTGCACAGCTTGTGGCTCCAAAAGACACTTTTTTTATTCCAATCGAGAAAAGAGTGGGGAGGACTTTGCCTTGCATCTAGGATACCAGCTCAACCACAGCATGATAGACAACGGTCAGCATCATGAGGTCCTTATTCCAGGTGCTACCTCCCGGATGACATTTCTAGACATATCCTGGGATAGAAGGGATGCTGCTACTTTGAAGAGAATAACTCAGTCCTGGCAGCATTCATCTCCTGCTAACTGAAGAGCCCTTGGTCCCTGAATAACAAGCAGTGATATCCAGGTACTACATCGAGGTAGCCTTGGGTGAGCCTCCAAGACTTGCTGGCTTCAGGTGAGACTCAGCACATTACCAGCTGTGGTGGCTACGGGATAAAATTTCTTCTGCTTGAGAAAAGCAGAGGAAAAATTAGAGGGAAATTTGTCTTGCATCTTAGGTACTGGCAAAGCCATAGGGGAATAGGCACCATAGGGGAATAGGCACCAAGTGGACTCTTGGCATTGCTGATCACAAGACTTGACTCTTGAATGGCATTTCTGCACTTGCTTTGGGTCATAGGGAAGTCCACTAACATGAAGGATGAGTCCCAGGCTAGGCAGTATCCACCAAAAGATGACTTAAGAGACTCTAGGCCTTAAGGGAACATCAGTGGTAGTCTGGCAGTATTCCTCATGGCCTGAGCTGGCAACAGCTATGCGGTGAGGCTCCCTTACCTTTGGAAAGGAGAGAGAAGAGAGGGAAGAACTGTGTCTTGTGGTTTAAGGGCCAGCTCAGTCACAATACAAAACACCAGGTAGACTTACACGTTTTTTGACTCTAGTTGCTGACTAGTGGACAGCACTTCAGAATTCAGCTGGGACCTAGGGGACGTCACCACTCTAAAGGAAAAAACACAGGCCTGGCTGGCTTTGCCAACACTGATTTTAAAGCCCCAGGGCCTTGAGTGAACATAGACAGTAGCCAGGGAGTGGTTACAGCAGGCCTTGGGCAGAACCCAGAGCTACCCTGGCTTTATGTCTGATCCAGCACAGTCATAGTAGTGGTAGCCCCAGGGGTGCTTGTGTCACTCTACCCCCAGCTTTAGGTGGCTCAGAATAGGGAGGGAGAGACTCTGTATGTTTGGGAAAAAGAAAGGGAAGAGAACAGGAGTCTCCAACTGGTAATCCAGAGAATTGTTCTGCACCTGGTTCAAGATCATCAAGGTGGGACCTCTACGAGTCTGCAAGAACCACAGCGTTACTGGGTTCAGGGTGCTCCCTAAAGCAAATACAGCTTAGATCACAACACACAAGTCCTTTTAAATATCTTGAAAGCTTTCCCAAGATGGACTGATACAAATACGCTCTGATGGTGAAGATTACAATAAATCCCTAACTCTTCAATGCCCAGACACTAAAGAACATCTACTAGCATCAATACCATCCAGGAAATCATAACCCTGTCAAATGAATAATTATAGAAAAACAGAGATACGTGACCTTTCACCAAGAGAATTCAAAATAGCTGTGTTGAGAAAATTCAAGATAACATAGAGAAGGAATTCAGAATTCTATCAGATAAATTTAACGAAGAGATGGAAATAATTTTAAAGAATCAAGCAGAAATTCTGGAGTTAGAAAATGCAATTGGCATGCTGAAAAATGCATCAGAGTCCTTTAAAAGCCAAATGAGTGAAACAGATGAAAGAATTATTTAACTTGAAGACAGGTTATTTAAAAATTCACAGTCAGAGAAGACCAAAGGAAAAAGAATAAAAAAAGATGGCATGCCTACAGAATCTAAAAAAATGGGCTCAAAAGGGCAAATCTAAGAGTTAGTGTTCTTAAAAAGGAGGTAGAGAAAGAGATAGGAGTAGAAAGTTTATTCAAATAAATAAGAGGGAACTTCCCAAAGCTAGTGAAAGAGATCAATATCCAAGAACAAGAACAAGAAGTCATAGCAGTGATTGCCAACATTTTTGGCACGAGGGACTGGCTTTAAAAAAGATAATTTTTTTCAAGGGTCGCTTGGGGAGTGGGGTGATTTTGGGAGGAAACTGCTCCACCTCAGATCATCAAGCATTGAGAGTCTTATAAGGAGCACACAACCTAGATCCCTCACATGCCCAGTTCACAATAGGATATGTACTCATATGAGAATTTAATATCACCATTTATCTGACAGGAGGCAAAGCTCGGGTGGCAATGATCTCTCACCTGCCACTCACCTCCTACTGTGTGGCCCAATTCCTAACTGGCCACGGACCAGTAGTGGTCCATGGCAGGGGTTTAAGAACCCCTGGATTAGAGAACACTAAGCAGATTTAATCCAAAGAAGACTGCTTTAAGACATTTAATAATGGAACTCACAAAGGTCAAAGATAAAGAATGTATCCCAAAACAGCAAGAGAAAAGAAACAAATAACAAACAATGGAGCTCCAATATGACTGGCAGCAGACTTTTCAGTTGAAACCTCATAGGCCAGAATAGATTATTAGTAGAAGAGAAGAAATAATGAAGACCATAGCAGAAATAAATGCAATAAAAATGAAACAAAAAGTTATTTTCTTAAAAAGTTTAACAAAATTGACAAGACTTTAAGCCAACTAAGAGAAAAAGAGAAAATATTAAAATAAATGAAATAAGAAATGAAAAGGAGACATTAAAGCTGATACTGCAGAAATTCAAAAGATTATTAGTGGCTACAAGGAACAGCTGTATGCCAATAAATGAGAAAATCTATAAAAAAGAAGAAATTCCCAGATACATACAACCTACCAACATTGAACTGGGAAGAAATATAAAACCTGAATAGACTATTAACAAGTAATGAGATTGAAGCCATAAGAAAAACTATCCAGCTAAACAAAGGCCTGGACCTTATACCTTCACTGCTGAATTCTACCAAAGACTTAAAGAAGAATTCATACCAATCTTACTCAAACTATCCCAAAAAATGAAGGCAGAGGGAATATTTACAAACTAATTCTATGAGGCCACTATCACCATGATACCAAAACAGACAAAGACAAGTCCAAAAAAGAAAACCACAGGCCAATATCTCTGATGAAAATTGATGCAAAAATCCTGAATATAATTATAGCAAACCAAATTTAACAATACATTAGAAAGATCATTCATCACGACCAAGTGGGATTTATCCCTGAGATGCAAAGATGCTTCAACATATACCAATCAATCAATATAATACATCATAAAAACAGAATGAAGAATAAGAACCATATAATCTTTTCAGTTGATGCTGAAAAATCATTTGATAAAATTTCACATCACTTCATTCTAAAAACCCTAAAAACCTGGGGATAGAAGAAACGTATGTCAACACAATAAATATCATATATGACAGACCCTCCCCCACTAATATCATACTGAATGAGGAAAATCCAAAAACCTTTTCTCTGAGATCAGGAACACGACAAGGATGCTCACTGTCACCGCTGTTATTCAACATAGTACTGGAAATCCTAGCTAGAGTAATCAGACAAGAGAAAGATATAAAGGGCATCCAAATTGGAAAGGAAGAAGTCAAATTATTCCTGTTTGCAGATGATATAATTTATATTTGGAAAAACCTAAAGACTCCACTAAAACACTATTAGAACTGATAAGCTCCTATGAGAATTTAATGCCATGGCTTATCTGACAGGAGATAAGAACTCATAAACAAATTCAGTAATGTTACATGATACAAAATAAACAAATAAAAAGGAACAGGAAATCTATGTTGCTACTATAATCAGTACCATTTCTATATGCAAACAGTGAACAATCTGAAAATAAATTTAAGTAAGTAAGCCCATTTACAATAGCCATACATAAAATTAAATAAATACCTAAGAATTAACCAAAAATTAGAAAGATTTTTAGAAAGAGAACTATAAAACAATGAAGAAAAAATTGGAGAATATATCAAAAAATTAAAAAATACTTCATTTTCCTGGATTGGAAGAATCAATATTATTAAAATGTACATATGACTTGAAATCTACAGAGTAAATGAAATGCCTATCAAAACATCAATGACATTCTTCACAAAAATAGAAAAAAAAGCCTAAAATTTATATGAAACCACAAAAAAACCAGAATAGTCTAAGCAATCCTAAGCAAAAAAAAAAAAAAAAAAAAATTACATTGCTTGACCAAATTATATTACAGGGCTATAGTAAACAAAACAGCATAATATTGGCATAAAAACAGACACATAGACAAATGGAATAAAATAGCAAACCCAGAAACAATTTCACATGCCCTGACAAAAGTTGCCAAGAACATGCACTGGGGAATAGATTGTCTCTTCAATAAATCGTGCTAGGAAAACTGTGTATCCACATTGAGGAGAATAATTCTAGACCTCAATTTCTCACTGTATACAAAAAACAAATAAAAATGAATTAAACACTTAAATCTAAGATCTGAAACTATGAATCAACTACAAGAAAATATTGGGAAAAATCTTCATGACATTGGTCTAGGCAAAGATTTTTGTAGCAGTACTCCACGACCATAGGCAACGAAATTAAATATGGACAAATGGGATCACATCAAGTTAAAACGCTTCTTCACAGCAAAGGATACAATCAATAAAGTGAAGAATCAGCCTAGGGAATGAGAGAAAATATTTGCAAACTACCCATGTGATAAGGCAATAATAACCACAATATATAAGGAATTCAAACAACTCTATATGAAAAAATTCATAATCCAATAAAATATGGGCAGAAGATTTGAATAGAGATTTCTCAAAGAAGACAAACAAACAGCAAACAGGCATATGAAAATGTGCTTAGCATCATTGATTATTAGATAAATGCAAATCAAAACTACAATGAGATATCATCTCACCTCAGTTAAAATGGATTATATACAAAAGACAAGAAATAATAAATGCTGGTGATGATGTTGAGAAAAGGGAACCATTGTACACTGTTGGATGTAATGTAAATTAGTATAAGCACTATGGAGAACAGTTTGGAGGTTCCTCAAAAAACTAAAAATTGAACTAAAATATGACCCAGCAATTTCACTGCTTTGTATATACCCCAAGAAAGGAAATCAGTATATTGAAGAAATATATGCATTCCTATGCTTGCTGCAGCACTGTTTACAATAGCTCAGTTTAACTTAAGTGTCCATTAACAGATGAATGGATAAAGAAAATCTGGTACATATACACAATGGAGTATTATTTAGCCATACAGAAGAATGAGATCCTGTAATTTGTTACTACATGAATGGAACTGGGGATCATTATGTAGAGTGAAATAAGCCAGGCACAGAAAGACAAAAATTGCATGTTCTAATTTATTTGTGTGATCTGGAAATTAAAACAATTAAACTCATGGACATAAAGAGTAGCAGTATGGTTACCAAAGGCTGAGAAAGGTAGTGGAGGACTTGAGTGGAAGTGGGGATGGTTAATGAGTACAAAAATAAAAAAGAGGAATAAATAGAATCTACTATTGGATCGCACAATAGGGTGACTATAGTCAATAATAACCTAATTGTACTTTTTACAATAACTTAAAGAGTGTAACTGGATTTTTGTAACTCAAAAAATAAATACTTGAGGGGATTATTACCCCACTCCCCATGGTGTGCTTATTTCCCATTGCATGTCTGTATCAAAACATCTAATATACCCTATAAATATACACACCTACTATGTACCCATAAATATTTTAAAAAATCTTAGAAAACCCTAGCAACCTTATTAAATATTCTTTGAGCTCTGGACTAGTGAATAGTAAATTCTCAAATATATTAAGGTCTATTGGTAAATTTTCTCTTTTATTCTACTAAATCCATATTAGTTTTTATGCCAATATTTACAATTTATTTTAGTAACTGATATTCTGATATCTAATCAAACTGATAAACCTCTACCATCAGAACAACCCCAACCCAAATATATGTATACATTGCTCTTTGTGCCTTTAAAAAACTGACATCATTAGACATTAATAAATAAGAAATAAAATTATTAGTTTTCAAACCATTTTCAAACACTTTCTGTTTCACAACTACATTTTTCTGTTTGATTTAATAACACAATATGTTCACATGAGTATTTTACGCATTTGTTAAAAATTGTCAATAGCTTAAAAGTTTCCTTAACTCTGAAAAACAAAACAAAGGATCAGCAACATTTTAAGCAAAAAGTCAAAAATATTACTTTAGAAGTCTGTTAGTTTAGTCCCTGCAGTTAATTCCTGTCCTGCTCAATATTCATGAACACTTCAGCTGTCCATTAGTCCTGAAAGTTTTCCCTCTATCTTGATGTCACAATCTCCAAAGTTATCAGAAACCTTCATTCCTCAGTTCTAGGAATTTCCCACCCCTTTTCTGAAAAACTCATGAATAATCCACTGCTTGTTTAGCATATAATCAAGAAATAACTGTAAAAATGGGCAACCAGCAGCCCTTGAAGAGCTTCTCTGCCAATGGAGTAGCCATTCTTTTATTCCTTTACTGTCCTAATAAACTTTCTTTCACTTAAACACAAAATATGAATGATTTTATTTATCTACACACAATATCTATTCCATGAAAATAATTGATTCTTCACTCATCTTTCCATCCCTTGAGATAAATGTTTAAATTAAGTTTCTTCCTGTCTTCTTCTCACCTGTTGAAATCTTAAGGCTGCTTTTGTATTATATTTCAGGTGTAACTTAAAGGATGTACAGCTTGTCTCTTTAGTCTTAAGAATTTTAACCTACTAACTGTTTATATGTGTATTCAACTGTAAATTGAATTATATATGTTGTAAGTTTCATTGCTCATGAAACTTTATCCTCCTTATCTTTATCCTCTTTAGCACTATACATGTTTCTAATTCCTCTTTATCTTGACCTATACATCTCTGTGCTGTTTCATTTTAATTGATTAGACTTTTCTCCACTATTTGATTCAGAGTATGAAACACTCTTAATTCTTGTGTAACCACAGTCATCTTTTATAAAGCTATCTGAAATGATATCTAACTTACTGCCTTTTAGCTTACAGTGTTATAGTTAAGAATGTAATGTATGTCTAATTATTTTTTCTTTGGAGATTCCTGCTCTCCCAGGGTTTGTCTTTAACCTTAGCATTCCAAAATACTCCTAGCTATGCATAGGAGTGCTTCATGCAGCAGTAAAACGTTGAGAACATTAACTCTAATTCAGCCACTTGGACAGATTATTTGTCTATGCCTTAGATTCTTCAAATGTAAAATAGTATCTAAATCACAGGGTGATGGTAAAGGTTAAATGAGTTAATATATTACAAATACTTAGAACAATGCCTGACACATGGTAAGTGCTATATAAGTGCATTGTCTTTAAAATTATGATTATTGTTCTTACTATTATAATCATTTTGTTATTATTATCAATCCAACCTACAAGTTGATGAATGTTTTTATTTGGAAAATTCAGGTCTTCTTTTCTTTCTGTGCTTTTTATTTCAAGAGTGTTTAATTCTATTATTTATTTCCACTCTTTCTTGAAATCTTACTATTTAAATATTAGTCTCCTGTATTAGTCTGTTCTCACGTTGCTGATAAAGACATACTTGAGACTGGGCAATTTACAACAAAAAGAGTTTTAATGGACTTAAAGTTCCATATACTGGGAAGCCCTCACAATCGTGGCAGACGGTGAAAGGCATGTCTCACATGGCAGCAGACAAGAGAAGAGAGCTTGCCCAAGGAAACTCCTGTTTTTAAAACTCTCAGATCCCATGAGACTTATTCACTATCAAGAGAACAGCACAGGAAAGATCCATCCCCATGATTCAATTACCTCCCACCAAGTCCCTTCATGACACATGCGAATTGTGGAAGTTACAATTCAAGATGAGATTTTGGATGGGGACACAGCCAAACTGTATCATTCCACCCCCGGGCCCGCCCAAATCTCATTTCCTCACATTTCAAAACCAATCATGCCTCTGAACAGTCCCCCAAAGTCTTAACTCATTTCAGCATTAACTCAAAAGTTCACAGTCCAAAGTCTCATCTGAGACAAGGCAAGTCTCTTCTGCCTATGTGCTAGTAAAATCAAAAGCAAAGTAGTTACCTCCTAGATACAATGGGGGTACAGGCTTAGGGTAAATACACTCATTCCAAATGGGAGAAATTGGCCAAAACAAAGGAACTACAGGGCCCATGCAAGTTTGAAATCCAGAAGGACAGTCAAATCTTAAAGCTCCAAAGTGATCTCCTTTGAATGAATGTCTCACATCCAGGTCATGCTGATGCAAGAAGTGGGTTCCCATGGCCTTAGGCAGGTTTGCCCCTGTGGCTTTGCAGGGTATAACCTCCATCCCAGCTACTTTCACAGGCTGGCATTGAGTGTCTGTGGCTTTTCCAGGTGCATGGTGCAAGCTCTCAATGGATCTACCATTCTGGGATCTGGAAGATGGTGGCCATCTTCTCACAGCTCCACTAGGAAGCAGCACCCCAGTAGGGACTCTGCCTCCTCAACCCCTTCCAGACTTTGGGCACCAACGAGCATGGGAAAGAGTCCAAGGGGGAGCTGAGGACAGCTCGGCATTGCCTGTAGTGACTTCTCAGCATTAACAGCTGTGGGCGCCGTCCACAGCAGGTTGATGGTGACAGGAGGCAGACAGGCTCCTGCGTGGAAATGAGTGGGTCCCTAGTAAGCCTCACCTTCAAGCTGGGGATGGCCTGAAGCATGGAAGCCTGGGTTGTCAGTTCCACGGACCAGAGCGAGGACTTATGGTGCTTTTTCTAGGCCTGTCCATGGCCGCCCATGGACCAATCAGCACAAACTTTCTCCACCAGCCAAAGAGGCTTCCAGATAGAAAAGTGACACCCCAAGGATCCTGTGACAAAATCACACTAAGCCTTTGTATTGGTCTGTTTTTATGCTGCTGTGAAGAAATTCTCAAGACTGGGTAATTTATAAGGAAAGAAGTTTAATTGACTCACAGTTCTGTAGGGCTAGGGAGCCCTCAAGAAACTTACATTCATGGCGGAAGGAAAACAAACACATCCTTCTTCACATGTTAGCAGGAAGGAGTGCTGAGCAAAGGTGGAAAATCCTCTTAAAAAACCATCAGATCTCGTACAAACTCACTCACTATCATGAGAACACCATGAGGGTGACTGCCCCCATGATTAAATTACTTCCCACTGGATCCCTCCCATGACACGTGGGGATTATGGGGTGAGATTTGGGTGAGGACACGACCCTATCACCTTTGTTTTATTAGTTGAGTTTGTTGTTCTCAAAAAGTGTTTTATATAAGCTATAATGCTTTCTTGCTTAGTAATTTTCTCATTCTATGGATAACAGTGTTTCTTCTCATTTTTAGAGTTCTCAAATATTAAGTAATTATTAAACATTTTTAAAACATTTTCAAATATAAACTCTGCTCAATAAATCATACCATAGTAATTAGTAATTAATTTTAGTTTGCATAAAATAACATATTTGATTTCTTTGTCAAATAAGTTGAGAATATTTAATTAATCATGATCTCATTTAAAATATACCCTAGTATTCTATTTTATTAAAAACGTGCTAGAATACTTCATAAAAACAGATTTAGACAAAATAGTGATTAGAATTTGAGACAGCATAAATTAATACGGTATTTAAATTTGGCTATTTTTAATTCTTAAAAGAAATTAATACTGAGAATATCTTCACCATGTTCTTTGAAAAATTTTAAAAATTGATTGCTGTTATCCTAACTCAATTCTGACAAATTTGCTATTTGTTTCAGTAAGTTTTTTACATATCTAAATAGAAATGTATCTTATTCCAACATTTCTTTATTATTTCACACATAGAGATCAAGATTGGATCCAATATAATCAATATAATCATTTGTAAGAGCTGAAACTATGTAAAATTGTTCTTCAGTTCTTTCCTACTTTCACGATTCACTCTGATTTTTCTTATTTTAATACCCAATACTGACAAGCCTTATAGTACTGTTTTTTTTAAGAGAATGAAGAAATACAATGGCAATAGTGGAATTATTTTTCTTGTATAAATGTAAATACAGCAAGAAAAAGAATAGTTCACTGAACAAAGTCTGGTTGTTGTTTTTTTTGTCTTTATGTATTGATAAATATCTGTAGCACCGAAATGCAATATATCTTCCATTCTCCTCTCAGACTCACAGACTCCTGTTGCTGTTTTAACAATAACAAAAAAATAAGACAAGGGGTTAGGGGAGATAAAAGAAAATAAACCTTTTTTATGTAAATGATTTTTGATCCACTTGTTTCTCCTTGCAGTCACTCTGCTTTGACTTTTAAAATTCTGTTTCTATAAAACTTGTCTCATTGTATACCAGCATATTCCAAATGAATAGCATTTATTTTACTTACAAACCTTCTTTTCCGTGTTTGAAAGAGGACAGGAATAATTTTTGCATATTTGTCTTTGTAACTGAGAGTCGATGCACAGGATAAGTAATCATTAATAATTTGTTGAATGGATGCATATATGTGTTTGCTATTTTTAATTTTACAAAGCAGAATCACATACTCCTTCTATGAAAACACAATTTCATGAAAAGTCTTTGATGAATTCCAAAATCCAATCGTTACTTTGGTAACGAGGGCAAACTAAAAACAGGACAATAATCTCTAAGGGAAAAAAATAACAAATGTAGGGAGTTTCTTTGATGATTACTTCTATGTGTCAATTTGACTGGACCATAGGGTGCTCAGACATTTGGGCAAACATTATTCTAGGTGTGTCTATGACATGTTTTTAGATGAGATTGACATTCAAATCATTAGACGAGTAAAGCAGATTGACCTCCCTCATGTGAATGGATATCATCCGATCAAATTAAGAATTGAATATAACAAAAAAACACTGTAAAAGGAAACTCCTTCTGCTTGCCTGATTGACCTGGGATATCAGCTCTTTTGGGATTTTGAGCCTGCTGGCTTTGGGACTGGAACTTACAACATCAGTTCTCCTTGGTTTCCAGGTCGCCAACAGAAGATATTGGGACTTTTCAGACTTTATATCACAAGAACCAATTCCTTATTTTCATTGTTTGTAATTTTCACATTTAACTTGGTAGATATTAAGACAAATTATTGCCTTCCTATCTTTTTCACCAGCATGCCTTATTCTCCTTCTTTATTTTCCCATGTTTATCCTCTTTGGTATGGATGGAGAAATCTCAGGGGACTTAGAAGTGTCTGACCATTGTATTTCAGCCCCAATCAATCATAAATTGAGGAATTCATCTTTAACACCTATCTTGCAAGGGTTACGGAGGTGGTTGTGTTCTGTGGCCAAATAACCGACGAAAAATCTGGGTTGATTGTTTTCTTTTTAACTATATAACTTTTCTGATCCTTTAAAGTCTATTGTGTGATCAATGAATAACAATAACCATGGTTAATATTTAGGAGGGTGCTATAGAATACAGATTTCTCAAACATATTTGAACAGAATTTATTTTATTTGCTAATAATTTCTAAATTTTATGTGTGTGTGTGTGTGTGTGTGTAATAATACGTGAGAAAGATTACTTTCTACAAACAGAAATATTATTTTGGCTTGCTTCATGAGAGTACAAGTTCTCTCTTGCTATCATGACTCCCTCATTTAACTTCAAAAGATTTTAATTTGCAAATCTGTAAAGTGAGAGATTTGAAATATATGAGCTTTAAGATTCTAGATTTAAAGCATTATGATTCTATAAGGCTAATGTAAATACTTCATCTTGTTGATAAATTCTGAGTAAATCAAACGACTTTAATCAATAAATCAGATCTTTCTCTCATTATTTTTAAATGAAAACATGCATTGTTCCAACAAGAAAAAAAGGCCATTTATCTCTGAGAAATATATGCACATTGAAAAATGTTTAATATGATTTATGCCCATTTGAATTGTAAGCAATTTCTATGGAAATATTCTACCACACACTTTCATAGTTTGTAGATTTAGCTCTCATGGCTGTGAAACTTCTTTCAGGTGTCATGTTTGCACAGTCTCTTGAATGGAATAAAATGTTCAGATGTTCTTGCTACATTTTATGCCACGCGTTACTTTACTTAGATATTTTTTAAGTGTGTGTCTTTGCATGCATTTCTATTATTATATTCTATCTTATAGCCATTTCCTCCTACATCAGCATAACTTTCTCAATTTTTAGAAGCATTTTAATTGGTATTGTCTATATTTTGTCAAGTTTTTCATTTTCTTTATAAGAAAACTGATATGTAATAACCAACACGTGATAAAAATATTCAAACAGGTTAATAAGAAAAAAACAATTTTTAAAATTTTTACTCTATTAGGGAAGCTAAAATATTATTAGAATATTATCTGTGCTTAAAAATACTTTATCATGAGAACATAGTACATATAAGTACACATTATAATTTATAGCTTATTGCATTATCACAAGTTAAACCATCACCAAATACAGAATATATAATATGACCAATACTGTAGAATATTTCTAGCATTCTAGAAGCACCTCTTATACTGAAGAAATCACCACCTTTTCCTCTTTCTCAAATGTACCACTGTCTTTTTTTTTAAGTTTAATTTAGAAATGAATATAGACACAATCAAACAGGTTACATTCTTTGTTTTGCATGTGATATATATTTTTATGTATGGCATTTGTTCATTTTCATTGCTGTGTATAATTCCAAGTTTATTAATTTCTCTATTTCATATTGGCAGATGCATTCTAATTTTTTTGTACTTCATATTTTCCTGATGCCTCAATATCTGCACCAACAGGCTGACGAACACTCTGTCCAGGCTGCCAGGCATATCAGTGTGATAAAGTCCATCTCTGCCACAAACTTCCCTTCCTCCCATCTCCTGACTGTTACCTACTGACATTCAAATGCACCAGTAAATTCCCCACATGCCTTTTGCTTTTGTACTTCCCCCGACTCCCAATACAGTTACTCAACCATAGGCCCTTACTCTATCTCTGGGCTCCTCAGATACTTGGTTGACCTCCTCTTCCTTCATGACCCCTTGTGTACCATGTGGGACCTCCCTCTTCTAGACCTATGAGGATAATATATCTCTTTCATTTTCATATGCCTCTCCATGGTGTTATTTTGTATTTGCACAAATTAACAATTTTGACCATCAAAAAAATACGCATTTCAAGTAACCCATTTAAATTTCTTACAAGACAGTAGGCATTTGGGTTGTTTTCATTGTGGAGTTATTACGAACAATGCAGATGTGAACATTGTAAGGTATGATTTTCACTGCCTATGTACATGTATTTTTGTTGAACATATATCTAGGAATAAAAATGCTGGTTCAAAGATATATTTGTGGTAAACTGGAGCAGGTCATAGCAAAGGAGTGACAATATTATGCTAGTAGTGTGGAATAAGGGAGCAAGATTATTTGTCTTACTCCATATGAAAATTTATGTTACCCATCAATATTTATTGAAAAGGCTTTTTCCAGTACCACTGTTGTCACAAACCAGATGCCCATATATGTGTGGGTCTGTTTCAGCTTTCTATTCTTTCCAGTTTTCTGTTTGTTGGCGTTTGTTTTTAATACTACTACTTAAAAACAAATGGCCTTTATTGAATTTAAAAACATTTATATGGCCAGGCACGGTGGCTCACGCCTGTAATCCCAGCACTTTGGGAGGCCGAGGCGGGCGGATCGCAAGGTCAGGAGATCGAGACCATCCTGGCTAACATGGTGAAACTCCATCTCTATTAAAAAATACAAAAAATTAGCCGGGTGTGTTGGCGGACGCCTGTAGTCCTAGCTGCTCGGGAGGCTGAGGCAGGAGAATGGCGTGAACCCGGGAGGTGGAGCTTGCAGTGAGCGGGGATCGCGCCACTGCACTCCAGCCTGGGCGACAGAGTCTCCATCTCGAATAAATAAATAAATAAATAAATAATAAAACCATTTATATGTCCACAATTATCTAAAAAACATATTCAGCAACAAATAAAGCAAATGTTATTCAACAAAGAGAGATTTGTGCCAAGTTCCAGCAGGTGTCCAAGAAACTGAATGGTATAAATTGACACACAATACCCATTGATATTACATAAGAATTCTTCAAAACTGAATGATCTTGGAATATAAGCCATCGATGTTGACTTTAGAAAACAAGTTCTGCTAGAAAGGTGACTGAATTAATAACAGTTCTGGATTATATAAAAGATGTGTTAGAACTCTTTGGGGGCAATCTGAAAATACAACCAAAATTTCACTGTATCTCTGGGAAAAATATAGTTGTCTGTTTTGAATGAGGTCTACGTTAAAAACTACCAAATCAGCTATGTGTGTGCAGACAAGCATATGCATATGTCTGTCTGCCTCTTTAGTGAGAAAATCTGTTAAATTGAAGTTCTAACGGCAGTGGTGATTTGTCCTGAGCTTCTGTCCCTGATGTGTTTCATTACAAAACGTATTCGTTTATAATTTGACATATGTCATTAGACTTGAAGAGACCGACGTTGAAAAATCACAACACTTATGAAAAATACATACCTTTTGTCAATCAGATTTAAATCAGCCACTTCAAAAATGGAAGTTTATTTTCTAACTGATAAATATGATACAAGTTTAAACCCTTCCAATGTTTGTCAGCTGTTTCATCAATTGCAATTTCAATAACCTAGAAAAGATATGGAATGGTGAACATGCTTCAAGTACTCTTTATTAAAGGGATCAAAAATTGTAATTAATATACATGAATTGACTTTTTTCAAATAAGGAAATGTGTTAACATTTTAAAACTAATTTGAACTCAATCAGAGATTGTTTTCATGTTATGTAAATCTATCACTCTGATTTTTTTAAACTGCCTAATTTATAATATCCTTAAGCAAGTATCATTGTCCAACCTACAATAATTCAGTATATGTAGAATTATGACTTATACATTTAAAAAATCAAATGAAAATATATTACTTTCCTCTGAATAATTTGGAATAAATTATCTAGAGAACTTTGTATTCATAATTTGAAAACTAAGCTATATTAGGAGCCCAACAGGAGTTGCATTGGACTTTTAAATACCAAACGTTGAGCAAACTAATTTCTATCTGTCAAATTAACTATATTGTATTTTATACATGTATTTATAATCAAAATATTTACTAGTTGACAGTAAATATACATTAAAAACATGGAAAAATTAAGAGCATTTGAATTCCTGGTTTCATTTTTGTAATTTACATTTATGCTATATCTATATATAAAATATATATAAACATTGTTCTAAAATTCTGTTTCTTAAGTGTTTTCAGAAATACTGATATTATATAATTGTAAATAATTTAGATATTATACTGGAGTCATTTCTTATTATTTTATATAAGTAGAGATTTAAAACTCCTAATGTGGGACACAAAACAATCCTTAGGAAATGTACATATGCATTGGGATAAATCAAATATTAATGTCTCAAATATATTTTAAAGTTTAATAAGAAAGCTCACTTCAAAAAAACCTATAGGAAATTATTTTCATCACAATAATTCCATTTATGTTAGCTGGTGATAGAACTAGCAATTTGTTTTTCAAGTCAGATTTTATATGATTATTCCTTAATCTGTATTGTGGGTTGGATTATCCCTAAAAGATAAATTGTAGTACTAACTGCCAAGACCTATGAATGTGATCTAATTTAGAAATTGAGTCTTTGCAGATGTAATCAGGTTAAAATTGTCATACCTGTTTAGGGAGGACCCGAATCTAATTACTAATGTTCTTTTAAGAACAGGAAAACTTGAATACACAGATGCACAGAGGGAAGACAACGTTAAAACACAGAGGGAAGAAGGCCACGTGATAGCAAAGGCTGGAATGATGCGATGTGACTGACAGCTAAAGAATGCTAGGGATTGCCAGTACCACAAGAAGCTAAAAAGAGGCAAAAAAAAAAAAAAAAAAAAAAAAAAAAAAGACCCTTAGAGCCTTCATAGAGAGCATGGTCCTATTGACTTTGAGATTTTGGACTGCCAGTCTCCAGAACTGCTGAAGAATAAATATCTGTTTGTTTAAGCCACACATAGTAATTTGTTATAGTAGTCCTAGGAAAATAATATCTACTAGAAACTTGTTCATAAAACTACATATTAGATGGAACATGTAAAAAAATAGTTTTCAGCTACATTTCAAGATACATGTTAAGTAGCTTTTTATGACAATCTTTTACATGTCCGACTGAAGGGGAAGCAAGAAGCTTTTTCACATTGTGGCAGGAGAGAGATAGCAAAGGGGGAAGTTCCACACACTTTAAGCCATCAGATTTCATGAGAGCTCACTCACTATCACAAGAACAGCAAAGGGGAAATCTGCCCCCCATGATCCATCACTTCCCACCAGGCGCCTCCCCTGACAAAATTCGAAATGAGATTTGAGTGGGGACACAGAGCCAAACCATATTATTCTGCCCCGGCTCCTCCCAAATTTCGTGTCCTTCTCACATTTCAAAACACACTCATGCCTTCCCAGCAGTCCCCCGAGGTCTTAACTCATTCCAGCATTAACTCAAAAGTCCAAGTCCAAAGTCTCATCTGAGAAAAGGCAAGTCCCTTTTGCCTATGAGACTGTAAAATCAAAAATGAGTCAGTTACTTCAAAGATACAATGGGGGTACAGGCATTAGGTAAATACTCCCATTCCAAAGGGAGAAATTGGCCAAAACAAAGGGACTACAGACCCCATGAAAGTCTGAAACCCCAGCAGGGCAGTCATTAAATCTTACAAAGTTCCCAAGTAATATCCTTTGACTTCATGTCTCACATCTAGGGCATGCTGATGTAAGGGGTGGGTTCCCAATGCCTTGGGCATCTCTGTGCCTATGACTCTACAGGTTATGGACACCATGGCTACTTTCACGGGTTGGCATTGACGGGTATGGCTTTTCCAGGTGCATAGTCCAAGCTGCAAGTGGATCTACCATTCTGGGTTCTGGATTATGGTGGCCCTCTTCTCACAGCTACACTAGGCATTGCCCCAATAGGGACTCTGTGTGGGGACATGAACCCTGCATTTCTCCTCCACACTGCCTTAGTAGAGGTTCTCCATGATGGCTCTGCCCCTGCAGGAGACTTTTGCCTGGACGTCTAGGTGTTTCCATACATCCTCTGAAATCTAGGTGAGGTTCCCAAACCTCAACTCTTACCTTCTGGGTAGCCTCAGGCCCAACATCATTTGGAAGCTACCAAGGGTTGGGTTTTGTGTTCTCTGAAGCAATGGCCCAAGATGTACTTCGACCTTTTTTTGCCATGGCTGGGGCTGGAGTGGCTGGGACACAGGGTGCCATGACCCAAGGCTGCACAGAGCAGCGGGGCCCTATGCCAGGTCCACAAAACAATTTTTCCCTCCTGTGCGTCTGAGCCTGTGATGCAAAGGGCTACTGTGAAGGCCTCTGAAATGCCCTGGAGGTATTTTCCCCATTGTCTTGGTTATTAACTTTAGACTATTCTTAACTTATGCAAATTTCTGCAGCCTTTAATTCCTCCCCAGAAAAGGGATTTTTCTTTTCCACCACATGGTTGAGCTGCAAATTTTCCAAACTTTTATGCCCTGCTTCCTTTTTAAATACAAGTTCTCTTTGTTTATGCAAACGAGCATAGGCTTTTAGAAGCAGCCATGCCACATCTTGAATGCTTTGCTGCTTAGGAATTTCTTCTGCCAAATACCTTAAATAATCTCTCTGAAGTTTAAAGTTCCACAAATCTCTAGAGCAGGGACACATTGTCACCAGTCTCTTTGCTAAAGCATAGCAAGAGTGATCATTACTCCAGTTCCCAATAGGTTCCTAATCTTCATCTGACACCTCCTCATCCCGGACTTTATTGTCCATATCACTATCAGCATTTTGTTCAAAACCATTCAACAATTGTCTAGGAAGTTCCAAAGTTTCCCTCATCTTCTTGTATTCTTCTGAGTCTTCCAAATTCTTCCAACCTCTGTCCATTACCTAGTTCTAAAGTTGCTTCCACATTTTCAGGTGTCTTTATAACAATGCCCTACTTTCTCAGTTCTAATTTTCTGTATTAGTCCATTTTCACACTGCTATAAAAACATATCTAAGACTGAATCATTTATGAAGAAAAGACTTTCAAACAGCTCATGGCCTCAGGAAACTTAAAATTTTGGTGGATGGGCTAAGGGGAAGCAAGCACCTTCTTCACATGGTGGCAGAAGCGGGAGAGCAAAGCAGGAAGTGCCACACACTTTTAAACCATCAGATCTTATGAGACCTCACACGCCATCAGGAGAATGGGAAGGGGAGAAATCTGCCAACATGATTTAATCTCCTCCTACCAGGTATCTCCGCCAACATTAAGAATTACAATTTAAGATGACATTTCAGTGGGGAGATGGAGCCAAACCATATTCACTTACTTTGGGGCAGTTTTGCTCGTTTTTCCAGTTTCTCTGGGTGTTAGATTGTTAATTTGAAATCTTTCTAACTTTTTGATGTGCATGTATAGTAATAAAAGCTTTCCTTTTAACACTGCTTTAGCTGTTTCATAGAGATTCTGGTATGTTGTATCTTTGTTTTCATTAGTTTTAAAGAATTTTTTATTTCTGCCTTAATTTTATTTTTTTACTCAAAAGTCCTTCAGGAGCAGATTGTTTAATTTTCCTTAAATTGTATGGTTCTGATATATCTCATTAATATTGATTTCTATTTTCATTGCTCTGTTCTTTTAGTGTGAAGTTCATATGTTTTTTTTAACTTGTTCACAATTGATTTACGACTGAGCATATGTTCAATTTTAGAGTACGTGTCATGTGAGGACCAGAAACATGTATCTTCTGTTGTTGTTTGGTAGAGTTCTGCAGATGTTTGTTAGGTTAATTTGGTCAAGTGGCAAGTTTAGGTCACAAATAACTTTGTCAGTATTCTGCCACAGTGTTCTCTCCAATACTGTCAGAGGGACGTTGAAGTCTCCCATTATTATTTTGTGGTTATCTAAGTCTCTCTGTAATTCTCTAATAGTTCGTTATATAAATCTCAGCACTCCAGGTTTGGTTGCATATTATGTTTAGGGCAGTTAAGTCTTCCTGTTGAAGACTTTTTCCTTATGTAATGCCCGTATTTACCTCTTTGATCATTGTTGGTTTAAAGTATATTTTGTCTGAAATAAGAATAGTGGTCAGGGCGAGGCATGGCGGCTCACACCTGTAATCCCAGCACTTTGGGAGGCCGAGGCAGGTGGATCATGAGGTCAGGAGATCGAGACCATCCTGGCTAACACTGTGAAACCCCATCTCTACTAAAAATACAAAAATTAGCTGAGCATGGTAGCAGGCGCCTGTAGTCCCAGCTACTCGGGAGGGCGAGGCAGGAGAATGGCATGAACCCAGGAGGCGGGACTTGCAGTGAGTCGGAATCCTGCCACTGCACTCCAGCCTGGGTGACAGAGCAAGACTCCATCTCCAAAAAGAAAAAAAAAGAATAGTGGTCGGGAATGGTGGCTCACACCTATAATGCCAGCACTTTGGGAGGCCGAGGAAGGCGGGTCACCTGAGGTCAGGAGTTCGAGACCAGCCTGGCCAACATGATGAAACCCCGTCTCTACTAAAAACACAAAAAACTAGCCAGGCGTGGTGGTGGGTACCTGTAATCCCAACTACTCAGGAGGCTAAGGGAGGAGAATATCTTGAACCTGGGAGGTGAAGGTTGCAGTGAGCCGAGACTGCACCACTGCACTCCAGCCTGGGCAACAAGAGAGAAACTCTGTCTCAAAAAAAAAAAAAAAAAAGCAACTCTTTTCTCTCTCTTTTTTTTTTTCCATTTGCTCGATGGATCTTTCTCCATTCCTTTACTTTGACCCTATATGTGTCCGTGCATGTGAGATGGGTCTGTTGAAGATAGTATACAGTTGAGACTTGCTTCTTTATTCAACTGGCTACTCTATGCCTTTTAAATGGGGTATTTAGCCCCTTCATGCTCAAGATAAATATTGATGTGTGTGGATTTAATCCTGTCATTGTATTGTTAGCTGGTTGTTTTCCAGACATGATTGTGTAGTTGTTTATTGTGCCAATAGTCTGTTTACTTAACCGTGTTTTTATGGTGGCCAGTAACAGTATTTTGTTTCCATGTTAATCACTCCCTTAAGGACCTCTTTTAAGATAAGTTCAGTGGTAAGAAATTGCCTTAGTATGTGCTTTTCTAAAAGGTATCTTATATATTTGCTTATGAAGCTTAGTCTGGCTGTATATGAAATTCTTGGTTAGAAATTTTTTTCTTTAAGAAAGATGAATATTGGCCCCTAATCTCTTCTGGCTTGTAGGATTTCTGCTGAAAGGTCTGCTATAAGTCTGATGGGGTTCTTTTTGTTGTTGACTTGTCTCTTCTCTCTAGCAGCCTTTAGCATTTTTTCTTTCACGTTGACCTTAGAGAATCCAATGATTTTGTGTCTTAGGGATAGTCGTCTTTTTATAGTATCTCAGATGGGTTCTCTGCATTTGAATATTGGCCTCTCTTTTGACATTGGACAAATTTTTGTGGGCAATATATTCAATTATGTTTTCCAATTTGCTTGCTCTCTCTCCACTTTCTCTCTGCCACAGATATGGCAATGAGTCATAGGTTTAATCTGTTTACATAATCTCATATTTCTTAGAGGTTTTTTTCATCCTTTGTTTTTTTGTTTTTGTTTTATTTTTGAGACAGAGTCTCACTCTGTTGCCCAGGCTGGAGTGCAATGGCACAATCTCGGCTCACTGCAACCTCTGCCTCCCAGGTTCAGGCAATCCTCCTGCCTCACCCATCCAAGTAGCTGGGATTACAGGTGCATGCCACCATGCCTGGTGAATTCTTGTGTTTTTAGTAGAGACCAGGTTTTGCCATGTTGGCCAGGCTGGTCTCGAAATCCTGACCTCAGGTGATCTGCCTGCCTCGGCCTCCCAAAGTGCTGGTATTACAGGCATGAGCCACCACTCCCGGCCTGTTCATTCTTTATTATTATTTTTTCTTTATTTTTGTGTGAATTGATTCAAAGGACTTCAAAAATGGTCTTTGAGCTCTGAAATTTCTTCCTCAGCTTAGTCTATTTTGCTGTTAATACTTGTGATTGTATTATAAAATTCTTTTAGTGACTTTTTTTTTTAACCTATATCAGATCAATTTGATTCTTTCTTAAAATGGCCTTTTCATCATTTATGTATGGTATTATTTTATTGGATTCCTTACATTCATTAGATTGGATTGTAACTTTCTCCTAATTCTCAATGATCTTCATTTGTGTCCAGATTCTGAATTCTATGTTTGTCATTTCAGCCATTTCAGCCTAGTTAAAAATCACTGCTTGGGAACTAGTGCAGTTGTTTGGAG
This sequence comes from Homo sapiens, assembly GCF_000001405.40. Lineage (NCBI taxonomy): Eukaryota > Metazoa > Chordata > Mammalia > Primates > Hominidae > Homo > Homo sapiens. The sequence continues at coordinate 162,602,061 of NC_000003.12, read as the reverse complement.
GTAAGAAGACACTCTGGCTTTTTGTGTTGCCAGCATTCTTGCACTGGTTCTTTCTCACCTGTGGGGGCTAATGTTTCTTTAATCTTTGTAGTTGCTATTCTTTGGATGTGTTTTTGCTTTCATATTCTTAGATGCCTTTGAGGGTTTGACTGTGGTAGAAGGTGGATTCAGTCAACTGGCTTTGTTTCGTATTTTTGATTTGTCAATGTGCTATATCAGCTTTGGGAACTCCTTGTCCATTTTTTTGCTCATCTTCAAATGCTCTGGTATTTTGTTGTTGTTGTTGTTTCTTTACTATAAATGCCAGATTCCTAAAGGTTTCCTGAAATATGTCTCTATAGAAATTCTTGTGGGTAGTATCCAGCAAAGCCCACTCCTCCTGGGTGAGGATTGCAGCCATATCTTCAAAAGCCATTGAGTCCTGCAGGTCACAGGGCAATAGTGGCTGTGGCAGAGTCACTTGGGTCTCACAGACCAAAGAAGAAGAAACAGCGTGTTATGCGTGCGTCTAAATGAAGAGATAATCTGAACAGGCTAAGTGTGAGCAACAAGGCTGTTTATTCCCTCGGGTGTGAGCGGGCTGAGTTCAAAAAGAGAGTCAGTGAGGGTGGTGGGATTGGAGTTAGTTTTATAGGTTAGGGGTAAGCAGTGGAAAGTTACAGTTAGGGGCTGTTTATTGCAGGCAGGGGAAGAATGTCACAAGGTACATTGTCACAAAGCAGGAGGGGTCACAGGGCACAATGTCTCAAGGTTGATTGATCAGTTAGGGTAGAGCATGTTACAATGGTACAATGTTGCAAGGTTGGCTAATCAGCTAAGACGGGAGCTAGCTCTTTTGCTTCTTTTGAGGTTTTTCTGTTGTCCTAGACTTTCTGGCTCCAGGAAGCCTTCTGGATGTGTATGTGTGGATCACAGAGGTCATGATGGCTTGACCATGGTGCAGCCTACTCAGAGTGGACACTGTATTAATTTATTATTTCATCTTCAATTGTTAAAATATAATAGTGACATTTTTTGTTGTATCTCTTGATATTTTCATATGTGAATCCTAGAACATAGCAGTTTTATATTGCACAACTATTTTTCTGCCAGGTAAGGAGAATATCATTATTTTATGTGAATGTTTAAAATTTGCCTCTTCACATTCTATATCAGTGTTTTTAACAGTTTTATTGAAATGTAACTTTCATATATTAAATTTGTCTATTTTAAGTGTATGATTCCAAGAGTTTTAGGGAATTTAGTGTTGCATAGTCATCATAACTATCTAATTTTAGAACATTTCTTCACCCTGAAATGACCCTGTGTGCCTCATGCAGTCAGTGTTCTTCCCCACCTATTGCCCAGGCAATCCTATCTATTTTGTCTCCATAGATTTGCCATTTCTGGGCATTTTAAAAAGATGAAATTATAAAATATGTGGTCCGTTGCATGTGGCTGTGTTCAATTAACAATATCTTTCAGGTTTACTTATGTGGTAGCACATATTAGTGTGCCTGGAATTGGTGGGTTCTTGGTCTCACTGACTTCAAGAATGAAGCCGCAGACCCTCGCGGTGAGTGTTAACAGTTCTTAAAGGCGGCATGTCCGGAGTTCGTTCCTTCTGATGTTGGGATGTGTTCGGAGTTTCTTCCTTCTGGTGGGTTCATGGTCTCGCTGGCTCAGGAGTGAAGCTGCCGACCTTCCTGGTGAGTGTTACAGCTCTTAGGGCGGCGCGTCTGGAGTTGTTCCTTCCTCCCGGTGGGCTCTTTGTCTCCCTGGCTTCAGGAGTGAAGCTGCAGACCTTCCCGGTGAGTGTTACAGCTCATAAAGGCAGTGTGGACCCAAAGAGTGAGCAGTAGCAAGATTTATTGCACAGAGCAAAAGAACAAAGCTTCCACAGTGTGGAAGGGGACCCGAGCAGGTTGGCTTCACCCAGTGGATCTCGCACTGGGGTTGCAGGTGGAGCTGCCTGCCAGTCCCGCGCCGCCGTGCACCCACACTCCTCAGCCCTTGGGTGGTCATGGGACTGGGCGCCTGGAACAGGGGGCGGCGCTCGTCAGGGAGGCTACGGCTGCACAGGAGACCACGGAGGCGGGAGGGGGGAGGAGCAGGCATGGCGGGCTGCAGGTCTGGAGCCCTGCCCCGCGGGAAGGCAGCCAAGGCCTGGTGAGAAATCGAGCGCAGCACCGGTGGGCCGGCACTGCTGGGGGACCCAGCACACCCTCCGCAGCCGCTGGCCCAGGTGCTAAGCCCCTCATTGCCCGGGGCCGGCAGGGCCGGCCAGCAGCTCCAAGTGTGGGGCTCCCCGAGCCCACACCCACCCGGAACTCGTGCTGGCCCGCAAGCACAGCGCACAGCCCCCGTTCCCGCCTGCGCCTCTCCCTCCACACTCCCCACAAGCTGAGGGAGCGGGCTCCAGCCTAGGCCAGCCCAGGAAGGGGATCCCACAGTGTAGTGGCGAGCTGAAGGGCTCCTCAAGTGCCGCCAAAGTGGGAGCCCAGGCAGAGGAGGCACCAAGAGCGAGCAAGGGCTGTGAGTACTGCCAGCACACTGTCACCTTTCATTAGTATTTTGATGTTTTATTGTTCAATAATTTTCTATTTTGTGAATATGCCACATTGTATTTATTCCTTCTCTGATTGATGAGCCTTAAGTTTATTTCCCCTTTTTGAGTATTTCAATGAGGCTAATCTAAATATTCACATCTAAATATTTTTGTCAACATATGCTTTCATTCATCTTGAATAGATACCTAGGAGGGAAATTGCTGGGTAATAGAATAAATGCATGTTTAAAAATTTTAGAAACTCCCAAACTGTGTTCTAAAGCAGCTGAACCATTTTACACTCCCATCAGCAGTGTATGAAGATTTCACTTTCTCTTTGTTATTGCCAACATCTTATTATTGTCTGTCCTTTTTATGATAGCTATTCTAATAAGTTTGAGGTGTACTTTATTATGATTTTAATTTGCATTTTTTCTAATGAGGGATAAGGTTGAGCAACTTACAACTGTTTATTGACCATTCTGTCTTTTTTGGTGAAATGTCTATTCATATCGTTAGTACAACTTTTAAATTCATTGTTTGTCTTCCTATTATTGACTTGTAATAGTTCTTTCTATATTCTGGATGTGTTGGGGTGATCAGACCCAACATCAGGCCGTGGGGGCTATGAAGTCTGGCGGAGTCAAAAGAATGAGAAAAGACAAGTTAAGAGAGAAAGTGGACCAGGGGGCCAACGCTAGTATGGAGGCTGTGAAGGCCCCGAGCTGTGGGAGCCCATGCTATTTATTGGTGATCAAACAAAGAAACAGGTGGTGAGGATGTGGGGGGTTGAAAGGAAGTGGTGTATCAAGTGAATGAGCTACAGCTGTGATGGTTTAGCATTTTCTTTGAAAGCTATGGCTACTTGAGATAATGGAAGTGCTAGAAGCAAGGAGCCAGCAAGTCTGGACACATTCCAAAGGCCACGAGGGGTTTTACCCTGGACCCTGGACATGTTCCAAGCCCTGCCTCAGCTTCTGTCCCAACACTTGGCTTTTCTCCCAATAGGATGCAAGTGGATTAACAGATATATGATTTGCAAGTTTACCTTTTTGTGTTGTAGCTTTTCATGGTGTCTTTTGAAGCACAAAACTTTTAATTTTGAGGAAGCTTAATATTTCAAATATAGAACTGATTTTTCACTCCTGTTTCATGTTTTCATCATCTTAAAAGTTTCATAAACAAAGAAGTTGTTTCTGGTTATTTTATTTATAAAATGTGAATAAAATCAGTCACTTATGAAAGTGGAGCAGGCACAAATGTATTTTAAGAGCTTCCAGAGCAATTCTTACGTGCTACCAGTTTGAAAAAATGCAGTTGGAGATGGAGACCAATGTGTACATTACAAAGAACTTATCCAGGGTGAGAATCAGAGGAGAAAACAAAACTGTTCTCAAGGGCAGATTATGTATTAGGATTTTTATATGCTTGTATACTATATACATGTATCATACCTATTTTATAATATTCATAAACAATATCAGAGGAACGGAGTAGAATTGAGAGAAATTTCTGAGAGAGTGTTATCAAACACTTCTAAATGCTTGCATAAACGGAACATTTCATAGAGATAGAAAAACAGCAACTTAAGTTTATGGAAAGTATTTTGTTGTTAGTGTCTTAAAATTGAGGGAGAAATGCAGCCTCATCCAGTTTCATTCAGCTCCAACCTGTGAAAAGCATGGAAGCTTCTACTTCTATTCTTACAATAAGGAAAAGCTGAACAAACTCAAAATCAATGACTTTTCTTGGATATATTAAAGAACAAAGATTGCATAGTAAACTAGCCAAACAAGAGAGGCAAGCATACCCAGAAAGAGATTGTCACTTAGATATGCTTGTCTGATGCAGAAGCCACTGGACCCATGAACTGGGATTAAAAAATTATTTTGACCAATTATTGGAGATAGAATAAGACCAATATGAAAGTGAGAAACCTATGTGACCACCGTTTGAAGAGGGGCCATGCTTTAATGGGCTATCTTCCAGGAACCCCAGGAGTTTTTAGTTTTCACTGTGCAGATGCAAAAATATTTTCTCTTAACTCTGGCAAGAGGAAAGGGAGTATAACTGCTGTGAAACACAGTCATATTCTTCTCTATAACAAAGGACTATTCTCTGGGTAAAAGTACTTCCAGAAAGCAAAATTGTAAAACTTTATCCAAGCTTGGAAAAAAGAGCTGATCTCCAGTCCAGCTCACACCAGCATGGACTCACAAAACAAGAAAGAAAAAAAAAAAAGAAACAGTCAGAAAGGTACTGGGGTTCCAGGAAGTAGAGTTGGAACTTTTCAGCCAGGGCAGAAAGTAGGAGATGGGGTCAACACTGTAACACTGAGAAAAAGCTTGTGAAAGTCACAGCAATAAAACAAAGGCCTCTCAAATGCTGAATCTTAATTAGCAGATTATAGAACACTCCCCTGCCCTGTGAGTTTGCCATCGCACAAACAGGGATCCAATATAATTACAGTGGATTTAGATGAAACAGGTGGACAATAGATACTCTCTATGATGAGGTATATACCTACATACATGAGTAGATGTGTATTCCTCTGTGTATATATGTCTGTGTATGCATGTACACACACACAGACATATAAATATATGTGTGTATATATTTATTCCAAAAATCAAGACAGGAGATAAAAACACCAAAGAATTTGAAGTCTCTGGTACAAAAGCTGCAACAAACATTAAACATAGCCCAATTCCTAGCATGATTAACTTAAATTCTCATTCTAAAGGCCTAATTTACCTCAGTTTCCATTCCCTACTTTCAACCAAAAATTTGCTAGTATGCCAAAAGGCAAGAAAAAACACAACCTAAGAAAACAAGCACTCATAGAACCAGCCTAAGGTTGACACAGATGTTAGAACTATTGGACAGGAAATTTAAAATAACTATAATTAACATGTTAACTGTAATGGAAAAAGACAAAATGAAAGAACAGATAAATAATGTAAGTACACAGATAGAAACTAAGATATAATCAGGAAATGTTACAATTCTAAAACACAGTAATACAAATGAAAAATGTCTTATGGAAACATCAATAGACTCAACATAGCTAAGGAGTGAATGAGTAAACTTGAAGACAGATTAATAGAAACTTCTCATACTGCAATGCACAAAGAAAACAGAATGAAAACCACAGAACAAAGCATTAACAAGCTGTGGAATAGTATGAAAAAGTTTAACATAAAATAATTGGAATATCAATAGCAGAAAAAGAAAACAGATCAGAAGAAATATTTAAAGTAATAATCATCAATAACTTTCCAGTATTAATGACAGACATCAAACCATAGATCCAGGAAGTTTAGACAATACCTTGTAGGATAAATACACACACACACACACACACACACACACGTGTGCACACACACACAAATACACTCACCAACCCCAAGGCATATCACATTCGAGGTGCATAAAACCAAAGATAAAGAGAAATTTGTAAGGGATATCAGAGAAAAGCTTCCTTATCTATAATGAAATAAGGATTAAAATTCCAGTGGCCCTCTCTTTATAAGCAATGCAAGCAAGAAGCAATTGGAGTAAAATATTTAAAGTGTTAAAAGTTTTGCAATAAAATACTAAATTCTATATTCAGTAAAATTATCCTACAAACATGAAGGAGAAATAGAGACTTCTTCTGACAAACAAAACTTGTGTATTTTGTTGCTAGCAGAATCGCCTTTTAATAAATTTTAAAAGAAGTTATTCAGAGAGAAGAAAAATAATATAGAAACTTAAACTTACATTTAAAAATGGAAAAGCACCAAATAACAAGTAAATGAAGGTAAATAAATACTGTATTTTTATTAATTGATCTAAATATAAATGTTTAAGTAAATAATGATAACGGATTGTGTGATCATAGCATCTATAGAGGAAATTAATACTAGCAATGTTATAAGGGACAGCAGAAACCGTGAATACTCTGTAAAAAGTTATCTGAACTATATGTGAAGGGTGATGGCATAGTCAAAATGGATTTAGATTGGCTATAAATGTATGTTATGAACACAGGACAACAATGAAACAGTATATATATTATTTATCTTGACACATGGGTGAAGAGCAAGATAAAATGTCAATGTAAAATGTTCAATTAAACCTAGACAAGGCAGAAAAATAGGGTGAATAAAGAATAAGGGCAATGAATAAAAAAAGTTATGATCATTTTAGATATTCACCCAATGATATTATCATTATTAATCACTTTAACTGTTAAACATCTGAATACACCAATTAAAAGTCAGAAATTGTCGAAGTGAATTTATAAAAACAAGAATTGACTCTATACTGACTTTAAGAAAATCACTTTAGATATAAAGTTGAAAGAAAAGGGATGAAGAAATATATAACATACCACTAATAAAGAAAACTGGAGTATCTATCTATACTAATTTCAGATAAGTCAGACACACAAACAAGAAAGCTTATCAAGGTGGGAAGACAAAATAATCCTATATGATTATGCATTTAACAAGAGTATCAAAATACATGAGGTTGAAACTGATAGCACCAATGCTAGAATGTTATTCTGCCCTCCTATTGCTGTATCTAAATGAAATTCTGATTTCCGACTCGGGCCACATGTTTCTGCTAGCATGTATGCTTTTGTATCATCTATCTATCTATGTACACATCCAGCTACACAAGGGTAAAATTTAAGACCTTTCATAGTTTCTTTCTGACTTAAAAATTAAAGAAAAGGAAAACGGTCTTGATTTTAATACTTGGAAATATTTTTGGATGTAAAATTGTAAATAAGAGAGTAGAAATTGTTTGTAATTCAATCTAAAAATAGGATATTCAATAATTTTTTCTTCTTTGGCTTGATGTTCTCTCTATACACACAAATACAAACAGACATGTTCTATATTTCCATATTATATTTGGCTCCTTAGTAACATATAAGTGTTCTAAAGTTAATTGGTTTAAAAATGATGGTTTTTTAGTATACTGATACACTATTTAACAATTTTATTTAAATCTTCTTGAAAATGAATAATTTTGTTTTTTCTTAGTTTTATTCTAAATATGCTTGTGGTCAGTAGATAATATGATCTGTTAATTATAATTGTTCTATTTCACACTATACTAAAATTAATATAAAACATTAAATCTTTAAAAGTATTATTCAGTTTTTATGTCTCTAATATTTTCTTGTTATTTGTCCTGATTGTGAAAATTAAAGCTGATATTTTTGAACTAATAATGAAAATAAGAGAAATATTTATCTCCAAAAAAACAAAAGCAAAAATGAAATAACCCAGCGGATATAGGGTATATTATCACAAGACTGAAGGATTATGTGATTAACTAGAAGGAAGAAGAGGCAATAAGGCAGACTCAAAACTTTCAGTAGCAAGACATTATAGATCTTTATTTATGTTTATAACGTTAGATAATGCTTCTTCCGTAAATTTTCTGTGTGTCTCTGTTCATACTATACATTTCCACATGAGAACGTTAAGAGAGTGCAACTAGTCATCTACTCTACCATTTTTGAGCTGAGTATACTGTAGTTATCTTTGTCCAAAATTTACACAAGTGGAGGAAAGAGAGATCTTTAATGGAAGGAAATTTTAATAAGAGAAAAAGAAAGAAAAGAAAAAAGAGTACTGCATGCTCACAGCTTTCTTTTTATACAAACAAATACAGGAAATCTTCCAACCTAACATGCAACTTTTCTTCATCAACAAACAAATAATAAACAGGTGTATTCCTTTTCCAGTGAGGGAAAATACAAAGTCATAACTTGCTAGTGAGTCTTAAGAGAAAATGTCATGAAGACATTGCTGTCCTAGTCTAGTACCACTAAGTGATGACACTGGCTACTCTTCTAGTTTTCATCAGCAATAAACCTCACATAATATCACCATGAGGAAGAAGAGAATAATTTTTTTTTACATAGGAACAACTTACAAGAACTTCGGTGGCTCTGCTTGAGTTAGGTAGCAGTTGCTTTCTAATAATCTTTTCCTTTAAGCATGGAAATACTATGAAGCACTCCAAAATATACAATAAATATAAATTTCATTTAGATCTCTATTATAAATCAGTTCCCCCCCCCAATACTCAGGGTCAGCATGATATACATTTTATTTCTTTTTCAAAGAGCTATTGAGGAATGCTGATTGCAATATCGCAGTATGAGATTTGAATTTAGGGAAAATATAATTGTATACCTTGGTGGAATCAGCCCTTCATTGTTTGCTAAGAAGTGTAGACTAGAAGAGCCCAAAATCACAAAAGGAGGCCATAAACCTGTTCAGAATAAGCTACTAGTACAATCCTAATAAGCATGTTTTTTATTTAAAAAAACATTAATGCAAAATTTAATTAATTAATTTCAAAAATTAAAGTACCTACTTTAAATATACATCAACAGATTCATGTTAGCTTCTGTTAATGATAGATAATTTGCATTATGACAATACATTCTACTTGAAATCTGCCTCTCATGTTTTAGATTATTTAACATTTTAAATTCCACTCCTTTAATTATAAAAATAATTAGAGTATAATACTCCTCTTATTAATGATGAAAATTAACATACCATGCAATATAGATTGTTTTCAAATGTGAAAATTATCATTGTTTACTGAAAGCTTAGGTAATTTTCATTTAAAATTGCATAATTGTATCCATTGGTAGAAAATTTTTTCTGGACATTATGCTTACTTAGACTCATTTTTGCTTTCTTTGAATGTGACTGTTATACTTTGAGGAGTAATTGAAAACCTATTTAAGATGCATTACAAATTTAGGAAAAGAGCCTCTTCTCAGCAATAGTCATCCTCTAAGTTTATGACATTAAAGCATTATAATGTTTCATTTCTTGTAAATTTTGAGAAAATAAATTTCTTTATCATCATATTTTTTCTTAAACAGCCAACAGCTAAGTTCACAAAATTGTACAGGTTCATATTTATAGATATCGGCTAACTCTTTGGGTGATTAGGAGAAGAAATGTAGAATAAGCAACTCTAGTCTTCAAAATTGTACAAAGTGCAAATTGTACAAAGTGCAAATTATACAAAGTCTTCAGAGTCATGTTACATATTAATTTTCAGGAATACCTCTTCATATCTGGTCTCATCCCTACAATTTTCAGCATAAAAAGATAAGGCAGTAAACCAATTTCAATATTAATTTTTATTTATGGTTTCTTTTTATGCACTCTCATTTTATTTATTAATTCAGTTAACATTTATTGAAAGAAGATACTTATTAAGGTTTTTGATAATAAGGTAGTAGGCTGGTATTTCTTATAGTTGACTAAATAAACTCTAGTTGGTGGTCATGTCACTTCTTAGAAACATTCTGGTCTAGGTCCCTGTAGGTCAAGACATCCTGGTTATTACTCCAACCTTACAATCTATTTTGCTAATCAATTTTATTTTGCCTCTCATGATTAAGTACTGTCTTTTAATCACTGGGTTTTGAAAATACTAACAATGCTATCCATACAAGGGACACCAGTTCCATGGCAATATCTCATACTGTAAACCTTAGCCTAAGGAGCTTCTTAAATATCCTCCTGTACCCCCATCAGTGCATTTATTATTACCTTGATGAAAACAGTTTTATTTGGGACCTCCTTGGAAACAGTCAAGTTGTGGTTATTCTCTAATCGGACTTTGTAGCAATCTAATCCCATTTAAGACAAAATTTAGATAAACCTGAAATTAGAGGTGTTGAGGTGGACAAATAGAATCTTTGAAACAACTGTTTCAGGTGAGATCTTTGCTTGTTTTCCACGTGATACAAGCTGGTTGTCTTATAACGAGAGAGAGACAGTTGTTTCTTTTGGCTGGTAAAATCAGGGATATTTGATGATTGTCTATCTATTTATCTATCATCTATCTATCTACCTACCTGTCTATATAATCTGTCTACCATCTGTCAATTAAATGGCAAAAATTTCTGTATTGTACACATCAGCATTCTACTTTGTTTCCATCAAGGTCCTGACTTAGGCATAAATATGCGAATGTGTCCATTCGGTGTCTTTTGAAGCTCTGTCACCATTACAATTAAATTTCAGCCTGATTTTTAGCACAGTGTACTTTGCAGCTATAGTTGACAAGGAGATCTTTAAGTGGTCCCATGGAGGTATTCTGAAATCTACAGTGTGGCTTGCATTGATAGTTTGCTAATCTGATATTGCTCTTTCAGGGGTTCTAAGCCCAATCTCAAGCTTTCCAACTCTAGTCCTTACCATTTTCTTCATCCTTGTAACTTTCAAGTGTAATCCCTACATTATAGTTATATCGATATAACTATATAGTTATATAGTTATATCTATATAACTATATGGTTATATAGCTATATCTATATAACTATATAGTTATATAGTTATATAGTTATATATAGTTTCACTATATATATTTTCACTATATATATATAGTTTCACTAGTTTCACTATATATATAGTTTCACTATATATATATAGTTTCACTATATATATATAGTTTCACTATATATATATAGTTTCACTATATATATAGTTTCACTATATATATATATAGTTTCACTATATATATAGTTTCACTATATATATATAGTTTCACTATATATATATAGTTTCACTATATATATATAGTTTCACTATATATATATAGTTTCACTATATATATAGTTTCACTATATATATATAGTTTCACTATATATATAGTTTCACTATATATATATAGTTTCACTATATATATATAGTTTCACTATGTGTATATATATATAGTTTCACTATGTGTATATATATATAGTTTCACTATGTGTATATATATATAGTTTCACTATATATATATATAGTTTCACTATATATATATATAGTTTCACTATATATATATATAGTTTCACTATGTGTATATATATAGTTTCACTCTCTACCCTGTAGTATGTTCAATGTGTCCCTAAAACATACGTCTATGTCCTAACCCCCTGATCCTGTGAATATTGATTTATGTGGTAAAATACATGAGCAAGTTAACGATCTTGAGGAGTTTATGCTGGATCATCTGTGTGAAGTTTAAATGGAATAATATGTGTCTTTATAAGACAATAGCATTGGTTGCTGGGACATAAGATGTACTCAAAGGAGAAGGTCAAGTGAATGAAGGTTACAAGCCAAGGTACACAAAGGATTCTTGGTAGCCACCAGAGACCAAAAGGGAGCTTGGAGACCTTAGAAAAAGCACAGCTGTGCCAATATGTTGATTTTGGACTCCTGGCCTCTGAACCTGTCAAATCATAAATTTCTGTTGCTATAAGCCACCAAGTTTGTGGTAACTTGTTATGACAGCCACAGGAAACTAATACAAATCTCACTGATATATTCCACCAATGAGATTCTCAGCAATGTTAACATCTCTGCCTGTCAGGGGTTATTAGTACTCCCCTACCATCAATATCAATGGAGTCCTTATTACTATCTGACCTCTGGATGATCCATTTCCAAGATCCTGTCTTGACAGTCTGCTTTCTAAGGCTGCTATGATATTAATGATCTCAAATTGTCCCTCCATCTTCCAAATGAGACTCTATAACAACTGTTTGCAATGCAGGTAGTTTATGTAAGGATATTCTCCTACGGATGAAGACTGGGGTGTCAGGGGAGAACAAAGCAGTAAAGTCAAACAAAGGCTGTGTTACTCAGTTGGTTTATGTTTTGGACAAATAAGGCTCAAATTCTCTCATGGTCTTTTTGATGTGTCATCTTAGCCAGGCTACCATTTAAGTTATTCAATCAAACACTAATGTAGCTGTTGCTGTGAAATTATTTTGTAGATTTGATTAAAATTTGTATCAGATGATTTAAGGAAGGGAGATTATTTTAGATAATCTGGGTGAAACTGATTCAATCAGTTGCAAAATTTTTGAGAGCAGAAGTGAGCCTTCTCTGAAGAAGAAAAAATTCTACCTATGAGCAGCAGCTTCAGCTGAGAGATCCAGCCTGCCCTTCCTGGTGGCTTGTTTAGCCAAGTTTTAGCCATCCCCTCAGTTACGTAAGCCAATTTCTTGAAAGAAATCTCTGTCAGCCGGGCACGGTGGCTCACGCCTGTAATCCCAGCACTTTGGGAGGCTGAGGCGGGTGGATCACGAGGTCAGGAGATTGAGACCATCCTGGCCAACATGGTGAAACCACGTCTCTATTAAAAATACAAAAATTAGCCATACGTAAGCCAATTTCTTGAAAAAAATCTCTATCTGCCGGGCATGGTGGCTCACGCCTGTAATCCCAGCACTTTGGGAGGCTGAGGCGGGTGGATCATGAGGTCAGGAGATTGAGACCATCCTGGCCCACATGGTGAAACCGCGTCTCTATTAAAAATACAAAAATTAGCCAGGTGTGGTAGCGTGCGCCTGTGGTCCCCAGCTACTGGGAAGGCTGAGGCAAGAGAATCGCTTGAACCCGGGAGGTGGAGTTTGCAGTGAGCGGAGATTATGCCACGGCACTCCAGCCTGGCGACAGAGCAAGACTCCGTCAAAAAAAAAGAAAGAAAGAGAAGAAGAAAGGATGAAAGAGAGAGAGAGAAAGAAAGAAAAGAAATCTCTATCATCTACCTATTTGTCTAATCCATCTACCAGCTATCAATTAATCAATATATGTCTATCTATCTATCATCTATATATCTGTCATCTCTCTGTATGTGTCTCCTACTTGTTCTGCTTATATCTATCTCCTACTGGTTTCTAGAAGGAATTCTGTCCACAAAATATAATTTAGTGGAAACATCAAGTTGTCAAACTTCATGTGTTTGTTTTAGTATGTCATAACGTGAAGGGCACAACAATAAAACAATCACTAAAAATCTGTATGTTCCCAGGAAAATTTTATTCTGCAATTTTTATAACTAATGCTTAATAATGAAAGTAGGAGAGAAGGAAAATTTTACTTTTTTTACTTTACGTATCTCTCCAACATTTTATATGTGCGTATTTTTGAAATTCAAAAATAAAACAGTATGGAAATATTGTATAAATTATGAAATATTATAGCATTGTATTCTCAAATATTTTATTATGCACAATTTATCTTTTTTCCGATTTTATTTTTAAAATAAAATAGAAGATTTCTCAAGGTCACGAAGAAGAAAGCAACATGGCTGGGCGCGGTGGCTCAAGCCTGTAATCCTAGCACTTTTGGGAGGCCGAGGTGGGCGGATCACGAGGTCAGGAGTTCGAGACCATCCTGGCCAACATGGCGAAACCCTGTCTCTACTAAAAATACAAAAAAATTAGCAGGGTGTGGTGGCGGACGCCTGTAGTCCCAGCTACTCAGGAGGCTGAGGCAGGAGAATGGCGTGAACCCGGGAGGCAGAGTTCACAGTGAGCCGAGATGGTGCCACTGCACTCCAGCCTGGGGGACAGAGCCAGACTCTGTCTCAAAAAAAAAAAAAAAAAAAAAAAAAAAAAGCAATAGATCAGTGACTTGAACTCACATCTTCTAAACCCCAAATTCATACTTTTTTAAATCATGCCCAGTAGTCCTTGTCAGTGACAGTGAATGACTTTCAAAGTCACCTGCTATTTGAAAGGCTTTAAAATTACAAGAGAAAATTAAAACTAGTTTTTATAATTTAAATTTTTGATGTCTTCAGTATAAAATAAAGACAAATACACACTCAATTTTTCACTGACTACATCAACTGCCTCTTCAGATGTTAATGGGGATTCATTGATTCTCAAATCCCCCAAATTGGCATCAAATGTATATTATAGCTTCAATCATGAAGGTATCTCACCATATTCTCCATTACTTAGAAACTTCTAATGCCATCACTGTACTCCCCAATGATTTTTTAATTAAAACTATTTACTGCTAATCTTTTGTCTATAGAAATCAAGTGGAGAATAAAGATATTATTGGGGATTTTTCCAGATTAGATTTCTAAAACCCAGAATGACTTGGATTAACTAAAATGTACTTTCTGTTTTTTTTTTTTTTTTTTTTTTTTTTTGACGGAGTCTCACTCTGTCACCCAGGCTGGAGTGCAGTGGCGTGACACTTGGCTCACTGCCAGCTCCACCTCCCGGGTTCATGCCATTCCCCTGCCTCAGCCTCCCGAGTGGCTGGGACTACAGGTGCCTGCCACCACGCCCGGCTAATTTTTTGTATTTTTCGTAGAGACTGGGTTTCACCGTGTTAGCCAGGATGGTCTCGATCTCCTGACCTCGTGATCCATCCGCCTCGGCCTTCCGAAGTGCTGGGATTACAGGCGTAAGCCACTGCGCCCAGCCTAAAATGTACTTTCTTTTATAGAAAGTTTATTATGGAATTAGCAGATATTTTGAATGGACGAACAAAAGCTGTGTAAAAGTGGACCATACACATGTCGCTTATACATCTAAGTGCAATCTTCAAAAATAAATAACACAATGGAAGTTATATACACACATTATTAAATGTAATGATGAGTCTGTTAGCAGCGGAACATATTCGAGTCAGAAGACACTAAAGTACGTTACCAGTGGCAAATCCATATGCATCTGCAGCAACCTCAATTCTATCCTCCCCAGAAGAAAGAATTCGACTAAGGGGCATAAGGCAGAAGGAGAGATCAAGACAAGTTTTAGAGCAGGAACAAAATTTTATTAAAAAGCTTTAGATCATGTATGAAAGGAAGTAAAATCACTTGGAAGTGGGCCAAGCGGGTAACTTGAGAGATCAAGCATGCTGTTTGACCCTTGACTTGGGTTTTATATGTTGACATACGTCTGGGGCTTTGCATTCCTTCTCCCTTGAGTCTTCCCTTGGGGTAGGCTGTTTACATATGCAGTGGCCTGCAAGCATTTGGGAGGGAAACGTGCAGTGTGTTTACTGGGGTTATATGCATGCTCATTTGAGGCATTCTTCCCCTATGAGTCAAATGTCCCTACAATATTATAGACCAGATAAACACTATTTTGTCTCTTAATTAGCCTGCTTGATCCCACTGGCCCAACTCCTGGGATCTTATTGGGAAGCTGCTGATCACCAGTTTCAGGTTTTTTCTATCTATTGCGAGAATGCCTTTTCCTGGCGCTGGCTGCAACCAATTATTATTTTAGAGAGACAGTTAACAACCACCTGACCATCACCTGATGTTCGCCTGACCCTCGGGAGCCCTCTCCTGCACTGCTCATGCTTGACTAGCTTCCGACAGTAACAAGTTCAATTAATGTCCCTCTTGAATGTATATATGTGTTCAAGTGCTAAACTAATGCTAAAAGTTACCTATTCTTGTTTGATAGAATTTAGGGGTATACAAGGAGTAATAAGGCTGTATGTAACTTTTGAACAAAAAGTGAGAAATTACTTCAGCAAAATAATTTAAAACGTAAAATATAGTGCACTGGGTAATGTTTCTTCAATTCAAAATATTGCATTCCTCTCTCCCTCTCTCTGTTTCTTTCTGTCTCTCCACCTCTCTCTTGCCTACAGGGGTTCAATGCATCTTTAAGACAGTACTTTTACTGATTCCTAAGTGATAAACTCTTTGTTTATATTCAGTTCACCTTTATATTGAGAATCAAAATGAGTGAAAATTAACATCAATTGGTATTACTGAACTACCATTTCCTGGTGAAGGATTGTATCAATTTTCCTTGCTAAAACAAAACTAATCAAATTAGCAGACCTTAATTTATGCACTCAAAATCGAATACATTAATCCTGGCATATTACAGAAAGAACCACTGGTATGGAATTTCTTTGATTTCCTTGGAATATTTAGAATAAAATTAACAGAAATAATTTAAACATCATTTCTTTTATTGGAATGCAAAATACTGGTAGGTTAGTATGTACAGTCAAAATAGCAAATGCAAGTATATTACTCAACCTCCTGCTGTTCATGAAAGGATCATCACTCAAAACTCCAGGAGGATTTCTCCTGGGTACCTTTAAACTATATCCTTACCAACCTTTATTTCTATTTTATTTTTCTCTCCTTGGAAATGCTACTGATTCCTAGATTTGCAGCCTCCCTAATTTCCATCCTCTGCTTTCTGCTTGATCACGGGGTCTACTGGGACTCTCTTTGTGATCTACTTTTCTTCTCCAACTGAAATAGAACATTCTGAATTACTGACCTCTTCACTCCTAAATGAAGTTCGCTCATTTAAAATGCTACCAGTGGTAAACTCCAACTTATTATCCCACAAACTGCTAAGCCTAAATAATCACTGAAACTATTTAAGTCTTTTGAAAGCATCATATCAGAATTTCACTGCTGTGGGATATGCAGCAGCTGGAAACTGAAACAAATTCCATTTAAAATACAACAAAATGAGGTGGGAAAAAAAAAATCACAAAAAAGAAAATGAATGCTTAAAGCTTTATGTGGTCCAAGTCTCCAATATTCTGCAATTTTTGTGACAATGACAAAAGCTCAGTCAAGGGAAAAAATGTTACTGGTGACTGATTTGTTTCTGATTTGTTTGTTCTTTGTCACTTGTCACCTAAGCACAGTGAAACCACATGATTTTCCCTGAAGAACAGCATATTTCCAGAGTTGTTTTACAATAGTCACCATGATATATTCAATGCTACTCCATGGTATTGCAAAAGGCTACCAAAATATATTAACAATAAAATAAATACATTTTAAAACTAACAACAAATTTGCTCCTGTTTGTGCCTGAAAGCTTTCCAAGATTAAGGCAGCACATCAGCTTAGCAATTATTAAACAAATGAAGCCAAATAAAGTAGTGGACATAACAATTAAATACTCTTTCATATATATTTTTTATTGCTTTAAGTACTATCCCTCAAAGATTTCATTTTCTTTACTCCAAATATTTACTAGCAACTAGTTTTATGTCACCTTGCCAGGTACCTTTAGCAATATGTTCCACAGGGGTACTTACATAAATATCTGTGGCACAGTGCATAATGCCATATTGTTTATTTACGTTTTTTTTTTCTTTTTGAGAAGGAGTCTCACCCTGTCACCCAGGCTGGAGTGCATTGGCGTGATCTCGGCTCACTGCAATCTCCGCCTCCCGGGTTCAAGTGATTCTCCTGTCTCAGCCTCCTGAGTAGCTGGGATTACGGGTGCATGCCACCACACTGGGCTAATTTTTGTATTTTCAGTAGAGACGGGGTTTCACCATGTTGGTCAGGCTGGTCTCGAGCTCCTGACCTCATGGTCTGCCTGCCTTGGCCTCCCAAAGTGTTGGGATTACAGGCATGAGCCACCACATCTCGCCCATGTTGTTTATTGAATTGAAATTATTAAGCCCTCCAGTTATGGTCTAGGGAAGTGGGGGATGAGTGAAGGGTTGAGGGGCAGGAAACTACATTGGGGAAATACTGTTGTAAATGTCAAGGTCCTGCTAACAGTTGCAATTTCAATGAACATATTTTATTGTCTTTACCTTTAAAAGGATTGTTCTAAATGTAAATAATTGTTCTAAATAGTTCTAAATGTAAGGAGAAGTTAAGTAACTACACTCATAATTTCATGATGGATAATATTGATGAAAGTAGGCAAAGCTATGTGTGTATATATATATATATTTTTTTTTTAATTTTTATTTTTTTAACGAGACAGGTCTTGCTCTGTCACTCCATTTGGTGAGCAGCTGTGCCGTTACAACTCACTACAGCCTTGATTTCCCAGGCTGTAGTGGTCATCCCACTTCAGGGAACACAGGCATGCACCACTATTCATAGTTGGTTTTCTTTTTTTTTTTTTTTTTTGGAGAGATGGGTTTTGCCATGTTGCCCAGGCTGGCCTCGAACTCCTGGGCTCAAGAGATCTGCCTACCTCAGCCTTCCAAAGTAATGCCACTTTTTGTTTTATTTTTAAGTTGTTGTTTTTTTTTTAATGCTGCTTTCCTTCTCATTTCTTGAAGTCTGTACCTCTTTCTACATAGATGTGCATTCTGGTTTATTAAATCTGTTTATACAATACACCTTTACAATAGCTACTTTGATCTATGTGCATCCTTGAGTAACATACTCTTGTGTATTTAAGATTCCTGTCATCTTGACCTGTAAATATTAATCTTTTGATACATTTTTATTCAAAACTTTATGAGACTCTTTTATATTCCCACTTATATTTATTTAACATACCAGTTATTAGTCATTCTAACATACTAATCTAATGCTAAACACATGTGTCAAGTTATTGTGATGGCATCACCTCACTTTTTTTTTTTTTTTGAGACGGAGTTTCGCTCTGTCGCCCAGGCTGGTGTGCAGTGGTGCCATCTTGGCTCACTGCAAGCTCTGTCTCCCCAGTTCACGCCATTCTCTGCCCCGGCCTCCCAAGTAGTTAGAATTATAGGCCTCCGCCACCATGCCCAGCTAATTTTTTGTATTTTTAGTAGATATGGGGTTTCACCGTGTTAGCCAGGATGGTCTCGATCTGCTGATCTCGTGATCCGCCCGCCTCGGCTTCCCAAAGTGCTGGGATTACAGGTGTGAGCCACTGCGGCCGGCTCACCTCACTTTTTGTATTAATATCTGTACACTTAGGAAAACTCTAGCTGGATGTCTTTAAATTTTGACATACTTTTTTGTTAAGCTTCAACTTTTATTTTTGATTCGGGGGTATATGTGCAGGTTTGCTACAAGGGTATGTTGCGTGATGCTGCAGTTTGGGGTAGAATTAAACCAGTCACTCAAGTAGGGAGTATGGTACTTAATAGGTAGTTTTTCAACCCTTGCCCCTTCCTTGTCTCCAGTGTCCATTGTTCCTATATTTCTGTCCATGTGTACCCAATGTTTACCTTCCATATACAAATAAAAACGCGGTATTTGGTTTTGTTTCTGTGTTCATTCATTTAGGAAAATGGCTTCTAGCTCCATCCATGCTGCTTCAAAGGACATGATTTCATTCTTTTTTGCAGCTGCATAGTATCCCATGGTGTATTTTTACCACATTTTTAAATCAAATCCACCATTGATGGACACATAGGTTAATTCCACGTCTTTGCAATTGTGAATAGGGTTGTGATGAACATACAAATGCATGTGTCTTTTTGGTAGAATGATTTATTTTTCTTCAGTTATATACTCAGCAATGGAATTGCAGGGTTGAATGGTAGTTTGATTTTTAGTTCTTTGAGAAATTTCCAAGCTGCTTTCTACAGCGGATGAAATAATTTACATTCCCACCAACATTGTGTAAGCATTCCCTTTTCTACACAACCTTGCCAAGATCTGTTATAGTTTTACTTTTTAATGATAGCCATTCTGACTGGTGTGAGAATATATCTCATTGTGGTTTTAATTTTCATTTCTCTGATGATTAGTGATGCTCAATATTCCTTCATATATTTGTTGGCTGCTTGTGTGTATTCTTTTGATAAGTGTTCATGTCCTTTACCCATTTTTTTTTTTTTTGCTTGTAGATTTCTTTAAGTGTCTTATAGATTCTGAATATTAGACTTTTGCCTGAGGAATAGTATGCAAATATTTTGTCCAATTCTGTAGGTTGTCTGTTTATTCTATTGATAGTCTGTATTAGTCCATTCTCACACTGCTATGAAGAAATACACGAGACTGGGTAACTGATAATGGAAAGAGGTTTAATTGACTCACAGATCCACAGGACTGGGAAGGTCTCAGGAAACTTACAATCTTGGCATAAGGGGAAGCAAACACGACTTCTCCACATGGCAGCAGGAAGGAAAAGTGCCGAGCAAAGGGGAAAAAGCCCCTTATAAAACCATCAGATCTTGTGAGAAATCACTCACTATCATGAGAATAGCATGAGGGTAACCACCCCCATGATTCAATTACCTCCCACTGGGTCCCTCTCATGACACATGGGGATTATGGGAACTACAATTCAAGATGAAATTTCAGTGAGGACACAGCCAAACAATATCATAGGCTTTTGCTGTGCAGAAGCTCTCTAGTTTAATTAGGTCTCACTTGATGGCTCTTATTATTTTGAGACATATTCCTTCAAACATGAGACATGTTCCTCCTAGTTTTTTGAGAGTTTTTATCAAGACGGGATGTTGGCTTTTATCAAAAGCTTTTTCTGTGTCTATTGAGATGATCACATGGTTTTTGTTTTAAATTCTATTTATGTGGTGGATTATTTTTATTGATTTGTATATGTTGAAACAACCTTGCATCCCAGAAATAAAGCCCCCTTGAAAATGATGAAATAGCTTTTTGATATGCTACTAGATTCAGTTTGCTAGTGTTTTGTTGAGTATTTGTGCATCTATATTTATCAAGGATATTGACCTGCATATATCTTTTTTCACTGTGTCTTTGTCAGATTTTGGAATTAGAATGATGCCAATTTGTTGAATGAGTTACAGAGGAGTCCCTCCTCCTCACTTTTTTGGCATAATTTCAGCAGGATTGGTACCACCTTCTCTTAGTACCTCTTTATGTGGTAGAATTCAGCTGTGAATCCATCTAGTCTAGGGCTTATTTTGGTTGGTAAGTTTTTTATTACTGATTCGTTTTGGAACTCATTATTTGTCTGTTAAGGGTTTTAATTTTTTCCTGATTCAATCTTGGGAGGTTGTATGTTTCCAGGAATTTATCCATTTCCTCTAGATTTCCTAGTTTGTATGCCAAGAGGTGTTCATAATAGTCTCTGAGGATCTTTTTATCATGAGATTAGTTGTAATTGATATAATTTTAAGCTCACCAAAAATTTTTCTAGAATAATACAAGAAACTCTCAGAAGATCTTTTTCATAGATCTGCCAAGGTTTTTTTTTTGTTTTTTTTTTTTGAGATGGAGACTCACCCTGTCACCAGGCTGGAGTACAGTGGCGCAATGTCAGCTCACTGCAACCTCCACCTCCCAGGTTCAAGTGATTCTCCTGCCTCAGCCTCCTGAGGAGCTGGAATTATAGGCATGCACCACCATGCCCGGCTGATTTTTGTATTTTTAATAGAGACGAGATTTCACCATATTGGCCAGGATGGTCTCAATCACTTGACTTCGTGATCTGCCTGCCTTGGCCCCCACAAAGTGCTGGGATGACAGGCATGAGCCACTGCACCTGGCCAGATCTGCCAATTTTTAATAATTTGTAATATTTGATTTTTCACTCTCTACAATATATTATAAACATTTTGAAAATAAAACACAAATATCATTTCTATACTCCAAATTATTCAGTATTTCCTAAAAAAAGAATCTCAGCCAGATTACAATTATGAAAATTATAAAATTCAAAGATACAATACTACTGTCTAAGATCATACAGTTTCCTAATAATGTACTTTATAGATATATTTATCTTGCCAAGATCTAATTTGGGACCAAACATTGCATTTGGTTGCATTGTCTCTTCAGTTTCCTTTAGTTTAGATCTGTTTGTAAGTCTTTTGCTATTCTACTTTTGATATTTTTGAAAAAATATGAGGTAGTTATTTAGAAGACTGTTCTTTAATTTGTGTGCTTTTGACGTTTCCTCATGGCTGTATTTAGGTTACGCATTTGGGACACTTAAATAATATCATGTTGTGTCCAGAATTGGTTTCTTCTGGTGGGTTCTTGGTCTCGCTGACTTCAAGAATGAAGCTGTGGACCCTCGCGGGGAGTGTTATAGTTCTTAAAGATGGTGTGTCAGGAGTTTGCTCCTTCAGATGTTCAAATGTGTCCGGAGTTTCTTCCTTCCTGGTCTTGCTGACTTCAGGAGTGAAGCCGCAGACCTTTGCAGTGAGTGTTACAGCTCTTAAAGGTGTGTGGACCCAAAGAGTGAGCAGCAGCAAGATTTATTGTGAAAAGTAAAAGAACAAAGCTTCCACAGTGTGGAAGGGGACCCGAGCGGGTTGTCGCTGCTGGCTCGGGTGGCCAGCTTGTATTCCCTTATTTGGCCCTGCCCACATCCTGCTGATGGGTCTATTTTGCAGAGTGCTGATTGGTCCATTTTACAGAGTGCTGATTGGTGCATTTATTATCCTTTAGCTAGACACAAAAGTTATCCAAGTCCCCACCTGACCCAGAAGCCCCACTCTAAACAGGACACCCCAACTGCTGTTGGGAATTGGGCGATGTCTGCGCTAGCTACTTCCTGCTGGATAGGGGTGAAGAAGGGGCCCTGCAGTTGTAGTGTCCTCCAGAGGAGAACTCTTTAGGCCAGTCAAAGGGTCAGCGGGTCAGTCCAGGGGTCCTCGGTAGAAGTTGTTAGTTGAGGTCATTTGGGGTTCCATCTGTAGCTTGATGGCATTGATCCTAGAGGAAACACATTTGACAACGAGGTTAAAAATACAGGGCCTGAAGGCGAGTAGTAGTAAGATGGCTGTCACGGGATCTAGAAAGGGGAGAAACCATGTCACCCAACTCCAGAGGTTGGTATAAGAGTTTGAAAGGCACTGTCTGATTTCAGAAGCCTTTTCCTGTAAACCCTGGGTGGCATCTCGTACTATTCCTGACTGGTTAATGTAAAAACAACACTCTTCTCCTAAGAAGGTGCAGAGTCCTCCTTTCTCAGCAGTGAGGAGGTCTAGGCCTCAGCAGTTTTGGAGCGTCACTGTTGCCAAAGAGTCTATTTGGGATTGTAGAGTAAGGATAGATTTTTTTATTTCTTGCAAACTGTCCGAGAAATCCTTTGAGAGTGTGTGGTAGTAGGATAATACATGTTACACTGTTAACTTTTAGCAAACTTTACTTTTGTTGAAAACCTTGTAAGTTTTGGATTTTAATTTTTCTTTGCTATTAATAAAACCTCATTCAGTCCATATTACTTAAAATTGGTATAGATGGCTCCTTCCTGATTCTGTGAGTACTTTAAGGTTTGACTGAATGGAAACAGCTAGCATGTTTGAGCTGACCAATTATTAGGCAATTTTCCTAAGTGCTTCTACAAGAGTTTCCTTATCACTTACTGAATACCCATTGTGTCTTTTTCCCTTAATCACCCAGGAGGAACCATTTATCATCCTGTCCTGAAGGGAGTGTCTCCTAGATCTGGTCAGACCTTTGTATAGTAATTAATTAAGACTTTGATCCCCTGTTAGGAAACCTGCTGGGTTTAGGGATTTTTGATAGGAAGGCTATAGGTTGTCAGGGGCCTCAGTGCTTTCGAGCTATGCCTTTGTTTACACTGAAAGCAAGGTGGTATTGGAGTGTTATAGGGTCATGGAGAAGACTTTCGATGATCAATTATAGGTTTTAATTTACCCTAGCTTTTAAAGGAATAGGATACACTGTTTTTTCTTTACTACTTCCATCTCTCTTTCTCTCTGACTCCTTCTTTGTCTGTCTCTTCCTCTCTCCTTCTCTCTTTGACTTTCTGTCTGTCTGTCTTTTCCTCTCTGTCTCTCTCTTTCTGTCTTTCCCCCACACTCTCTTCCCTCTCTTTTCTTTCTGACTCCCTCTTTGTCTCTGTCACTTCCTCTCTCTCTGTCTCTCACTTTCTGTCTCTTTCTCTCTTTCCTTTCTGCTGGTCTTTCCCTGCCTCTGCCAGCCACTTATGCTGCGGTCCTCCCCTCTCCCTCCCCTTTTGATGGCTTCAGCGTATAAGACTGCCACCTCCTTGGGTTTTTGCACTATGTGCAATAACTCCGTGGTTTCCTTGTGATATTTAATGGGGGTTCCCCCAGAAGAAGTTCTTTCCATTTTGCAGCATGGGCATGTAGGATTAGATAAGCATACTTACTATCTGTAGAAAAGTCTCCCAATTACAACTGAGGAGGTGGGAGAAATACCTGGTTATAGGCTGTCCCAGGATTCCTTGGATAGTAATGGACCTTGAGGACAGCTGTCCGGGACAGGAGATTAACACTGAGAAAGCCATGCCAGTGTCCAGGAGGAAGTCAATTTCCTGGCCCTCAATGGTTAAACATACCCAGGGCTCAGTGAGGGTGATGACATGAGCTGGCGCTTGCCCCAGGCACCCTCAGTCCTGTTGTTTGATCCTGGTTGGGGACTTCTGGCCCAGAGAACCTTTGCTGTCTGGGGCAGTGCACCTTCCAGTGATTGCCTAGGCATAGTGGTCATGGGCGAGGGGGCAGCTTGTTTCTCGGTGGACGATCTTTTTTAAAGTGTCCTTACAAAACGCACTGATAACAAGCCCTACCAGGTGATTGGCCTGCTCTATTTTCTGTCCTCCCTGAACCACCAAGGTTTGTTTGTCTGCGGGCCATGACTAAGGCTGCAGCCTTTCTCTGATCTCACTTTTCCTTTTGGGCCTGTTCCTCTTGGTCCCTATTATAGAACACCGGGGTTGCCAGGTTTAATAATGCCTCCAGATTTTGTTCAGGGCCCAGGGCTTGCTTTTGGAGCTTTCTCCTGATATTTGCGGCTGATTGGGTAATAAACATATCTTTTAGGATCAATTGACCCGTGAGTGAGTCAGATGACAGGGAAGTCTATTTTCTTAAGGCCTCCCATAGCTGCTCGAGGAAGGCAGAAGGATTTTCTTCCTTTCCCTGAGTTATGGTGGACATCATTGAATAATTCATGGGCTTTTTCCTAATTCTCCATATTCTTCTAGAACACAGGTCAACAGACGTTTGCAACTCCAGTCCTTATGATCTGAGTCGAAATCCCAGTAGGGATCCATACTGGGGGTGGTTTGCTGACCAGTACGGAATTTGTCCGTTTCTTCAGCTGTCATTCTATCATTTACTTGACTAAGATACCAGGTATCTCCAAACTCTCGGGCTGCAGCTAAAGCCACATTCTTTTCATTAAAGGCTAGGGTTTGATCTAACAATAGCATGACATCTCTCCAAGTGAGATCAAAGGTTTGCCCTAGACCCTGTAGGACGTCTATGTACCTATCACAATCATCTGAAAACTTCCCCAAGTCTGCCTTGATCTGCTTTAAATCAGAGAGGGAGAAGGGTACATGTACCGGGGTTGCCACATTCCCCTCCTGCAACAGCTTGAAGGGGACATAACCGATAGCCTGGGGGTTTTTGTGGTCCTTTGGAGATTTCATTGCTTATTTCCATCTGGGTGGGGGAGATTAGAGGAAGCTTATCATCAATAGGAAGGGGAGTTATAGGGAGGCTAAGATATGGGGGTAAGGTGAGAAGTCCTCCTGTGGGACGTAAACTGTAAGCTTTGCATAGTTGTGTATTCTCGCTCAATGAAAATAAAGCTTGGTCATAAGGTATTTCACTCCATTTGCCTTCCCTCTTACAGAAAAGGTCAAGCTGCAGGATAGTGTTATAATTTATACTTCCCTCAGATGGCCATTTTTCCCCATCAGAGAGAGAATACTGGGGCCAGGCCATAGTGCACAAAAAAATGAGCCATCTCTTTTTCAGGGATTGTGGGTCAAATTGATCCCAATGGCTTAGGATGCATTTCAAGGGTGAGCCTGTTGATGCCTGAGTGTTTCCCATCTGAAAGACAAAACTGCCAGTGGTTTTGGTTTCTTTGTTTCTTCCCCTGCCCAAGAACCCACAAGGGTCACTGGACACTGCTGATCAGAATAGTTGCACTTCTGACGCAGCAGCAGAAACACCTCTTGCCCAAGAACCCGCAGTGGTCCCTGGACTCTGCTGATCAGAATAGTTGTGCTCACCGACGCAGTAGCAGAAACAGTAGTTTTCCTCCTAGACCACAAGGAGGACTGAGGAAGGTCGGATTTAGTGGTCATTACGCACTCATTCTTGAAAACCTGCACCCTTTCCTGTCCTCCTAGACCACAAAGAGGACTGAGAAAAATCAGATTTAGTGGCCCTTACCAGCGCATTCTCGAAAACCTGTTAGAGTCCTGAGCATTCTCCTGTTAGTATTGGAACTTTACCCCTGTCCTATAAAGATGTTATGCCCCAAAAATGAAGTGGATGGCCATACCCTGAGGGAGGGAAGCGATCTCCAGGGTTGGAAGAGTGATGCCTTTTGTCCTCACTTGAATAGGAAGTATATAATTTCCGAGGCTCCCCATATCCTAGCTTCAGGAATAGCTTTTATTAGGCCTGTTAGTCTGAGGAAGGATCCTAAAGATCCAGATAGTCCCCACTATGACGGGGCTTTGGGCAAAAATTATGTCTTTCTGATTGGTGAGCCCTGGTGCCTAAAGAAGGGAATCAAGTCCTGGAGTTTATACTAGAAATCATTCTTATAGGAGAAACTAGAAAAGCACCAGAGACAGGGAGTTGTTTTTAGAAGGGGGCTAGCCTCGGAGAAGAGAGCTGAGAAGAAGTTTGCCTGAGGACCCAGAGGCAAGGGTCAGGATAGATAGGATAGATGGGCGAGTCTCACTTGGGCAACATGACTTTGAGAGTTCTGCTGATGGCCACAGGGTCAACCAACTTGTTGTCGGGACCCTGGAGCTTAATGGCTTTCCTCTGTGTCGACCCTTGGCTCAGCGTGGAAGTACAGGAAAAACGGAAGATGGTTCTAGGCAAACCAACGCGCCCAACTCCGAAGAGTCGGGGTTGTTAGAGAGCCCTTTCCCAGAAAGCCTGACACCCGTGTCTTTAGTCTGGCGGCCGAGCTAGTTGCTTTTAACTGGCTGACAGGTGCCTGGTATTTAGCCCCCGAATTCTAAGGAAAAATAGGACAGAATAGCAAGTGAAAGGGGTCCAGTGGTGCTCACTGCTTGGTGATAGTCCCTTCGTGGTCACCAAAATGTGTCTGGAATTGGTTCCTTCTGGTGGGTTCTTGGTCTCGCTGACTTCAAGAATGAAGCCACAGACCCTCGCTGTGAGTGTTACAGTTCTTAAAGATGGTGTGTCCGGAGTTTGTTCCTTCAGATGTTCAGATGTGTCCAAGGTTTCTTCCTTCTGGTGGGTTTGTGGTCTCGCTGACTTGAGGAGTGAAGCCACAGACCTTCACAGTGAGTGTTACAGCTCTTAAAGTTGGTGCAGACCCAAAGAGTGAGCAGCAGCAAGATTTATTGTGAAGAGCGAAAGAACAAAGCTTCCTTAGTATGGAAGGGGACCCAAGCGGGTTGCCACTGCTGGCTCGAGTGGCCAGCTTTTATTCCCTTATTTGGCCCTGCCCATATCCTGCTGATGGGTCCATTTTACAGAGCGCTGATTGGTCCATTTTACAGAGTGCTGATTGGTGCATTTTTACAGAGTGCAGATTGGTGCATTTACAATCCTTTAGCTAGACACAGAGCACTGACTGGTGCATTTACAATCCCTCAGCTAGACACAAAAGTTCTCCAAGTCTCCATCTGATCCAGAAGCCCAGCTGGCTTCACCTCTCAATGTCCTCCCCAGTGTGTTATTTCAGAAGGCACATTATTGCCCTGCATGGGTGATGTTAACATTGAGCACTTGAAGCAGCATCTACAAAGATTTTCTGTAAAGTTATTATTTCTTCCTTTGTAATTAATAAGCAATTTCCTGTGGAAAACTATAAGAATGCTTAAATATACTCTTTCTTATCAATGTTTTTCTGGATATCTTATCATTCATTGATGATTTTCTGGCTTCCACATTCCTACTATATGTATTAGTTTCCACTCAACTATAAAAAGAGCTTTTATTTTTGTGCCATTTATTTATTCATTATATCAATATGATTTCATAAGTTCTTATTTATTTCAATGAGTTATTATTAAAATTTGGTTATTTATTTTAATGTTTGAATTGTCCCAAATTTGTCTGTTGAAGCCTCTGTAAGTTAAATTTTGTGTCCTTTTGACATGTCCTTATATCTCTTTAGGCACTTCTTTACTTGCCAGTGCTAAATTAAGTACCAGGTTCATCTTAGCTTTGCCAGCCACATGCCTGTAACCACCTGTTACTCTTGGTTCATTTTGATGTTGAATTGTATTTAGAAAACTAGTGTTGGATGCTTATTGCCATTGAAATAGCATTCTTTTTAGATATTTTTTGTAAACAGAGACAGGAGAAGATATATATGAACACACGCATACACACACACATAGATTGTGTGTATCATGAGTCTGTACCAATGCCTCCAACTGCAGTGCTACAATATAGATTTAATGCTAGCATTTCTACTTCCGTATTTTAACTCTTCTTGCCACATTAAGAAAAATAACTTTTATTATCATCAGTACATTTACTCATTTCCTCAAGCTCAGTATAACAAATGGTAGTTTTAGGAATGCTAATATATCTCATCATCAAAAGTAAACTTACTAACTGAATACTCATTTTCATCATTTTAGGTAAAAATTATGTAAAGTGAAATGAACAAATCTTAATAGTGCAATTCAGTGAATTTTGAATTGTGCCTATACCTGGCTAACCCACACTTCAATCAATATATATAAACTTTTCATACCAGAAAGTTGCCTCATAACCCTTCTGATTTTTTAAGTCATAGACTAATTTTTGGATATTATATAAATAGAATCACAAAGTATGTGCAGTTTTACTTTTATCTTCTCACTTTCAGCATAATTTTTTTGAATTATTTGTGATATTGTTCTTATCAGTAATTTGTTCCTTTTTAACTGTATAAAACTATTAATAAATTATCAGATTCCAGATTTAGTCTGAAGCCAAAAGAGAAAATATTGTATATGAATCAGCTATAGAAGAGGTGAAAGAGAGAAGCCAACTTGCCCATCAAAATTTTTGTCATCAGTGACTGGTACAATAGAGTTAACTTTTACTGAAATGAAGATAACAATAAGATGAACAGTCTAGAGTTCAGATTTGGGCACATACATTTTGAGATACTTGTTAGAAAAAACAATTATAATGGTAGGTTATATTTTCATTTGTTTTTAGAAGTTGAGAGAAATAAGAGCATGCTGGAGAAAAGGCTTCATTATAGAACACCAAAGTTTGTATTGATCTTTTTAATTTTGCTGTTTTTTTTCCTGAGTTCTTATAATGAACACTTCACTTATTGTTTTCAGAATTTTATCCTTCCTTATGTACTCAACTGATATGAAGTTCTCCATTAGCTTCATCCCATGTGTGTTTTATATAATTGTTAAAAGTATTTTCTAATTTTAATTATTCTTTATTGTAGCGTCATTATTTATGTGAAGTGCAATGCTTTTAAAATTTGAAAACAGAGTTTTTGTCTAGTTATTTCTTCTTATTTTTAGTTTCTCTCACCATGATCAGAGAGACAGGATTCTATAATTTCAATTCTCTGATATTTATTGAAACTTACTTTATGACAAAGACCGTGATTAATTTTTAGACGTACTAAATAACTTCTTGCAAATAATTTGTATTATTCCATATTTGGGGTACCAGATTATAAATATATTGTATATGTCAAGTGAGCAGAGAACAGTAGTACTTGTAGAAAAAATGTTAAACTATATTAATTTCCGTCCCAAAGAAGAAAACATCAGCACTTTTATAGATGTGGTAGATAAAAACCTTTGAATTAGTAATAGAATTCTTGGACTTTTGAAAAGAAATATAGTTTCTCAGCTACAGGTTACATTCTCAACCACCTTTGCAGCTATGTATTGCCATGATAGCAATTTTAAACCAATGAGATATGAGAGGATGTGATATGTGAAACTTCCTTGATGGGCTGCTGGCCCTAGATTTTCTCACAGCCAATCCTGTTGTCTAAGAAGGTGTTAATTGGAGGAAAACACTTTTGATGAAAAGACAGAAGTCACATACTCAGAATGCAACAAATTATCTAATTGACTCAAGAGTCCACAATCTAGGTCTGTGAATTAATGGCTCAAGTCTGGGAATTAGGTAAGTCATGAAATTTCCACACTTGAATTTAATAAAATGCTCATCTATGTCAAAGATGTCTGGTGTGTCAAAACATTCTGATTATTGCCAGCCTTGCTGCCCATTTTGATGACTGTGCTGACCTAATTTCTCATGGTTATATGAAGTCTGCAACCCTAGAATCCTGTCATCCTACTAAAGCCTAAGACCTCATTGCAATACCAATATCTTTATCTATAACTTTGGCTTGCAGAGAATAGCCAATATAGAGGTTTCCAAGGATGTCGGTACTTCCTACATAAATGTATTTACTGAAGGTATTGGTGGGGGAACTGTCCTCTGGATAGTCCCAGGAGACATTGTTAAGAGACACGAAGCAGGACATATATGACAAATTTATTCTTACACTCTTATCATTTAAAGCCTTTAGATTCAATCCGTTAGAGTATAACAGGGACATGATGAAATCTCAGCTTCATTTGATGTAGGTCACTTTGGACCCCAAGGTTCATTCAAACAAATGAGTACCATGTTATAGTCAATTTCATATGCTCAAGATAACAGATTTGATATTGTTAATGGCTCAAATTTATTGTTCGGCATTTTTGCTAATTGTATTAATATCAGTAATATCAGCCATATCCAACAATAATTTTTTTCATCCCTGATATAACACCTTTTTTTTTTTTTTTTGAAGATGGAAGCTTGCTCCCGTCACACAGACTGGAGTGCAGTGGAGCGATCTCGGCTTACTGCAACATCTGCCTCCCAAGTTCAAGCTATTCTCCTTCCTCAGCCTCCCGAGTAGCTGGGATTACAGGAGTGTGTCACCAAGTCCGGCTATTTTTTGTATTTTTAGTAGAGACGGTGTTTTGCCATGTTGGCCAGGCTGGTCTTGAACTCCTGACATCAGGTGATCCACCTGTCTTGGCCTCCCAAAGTGCTAGAATTACAGGCATGAGCCACTGCACTTGGCCATAACAGTCTTATAAATTATTCTCACCCATATTCATCAGGTTTGTGCCAATATAGCCAAGAGCATTATACCATTCTTCATTGTACAAGGGGCATCCTGTCAGTTTAGGCTTTGCAGTCGTCCTTTTGCAGTATGCTGGGATTTGAGTCTAAATATGAGTCTGAAAGCAAGAAAGAAGTTATGGATGTTGGAAATGAATATCGGCATCTACCTATAAGGCTACTTTATTAGGTGCAATCATTGCAGGGATGTCAGGCAAGATTTAGCTAATCCTCCAAATGGGGAGGAATGGCTATTTCTATTGGCAAGGGAAGCTCAGAGGGAAGTTCAAGGTCCTTTTACTCATTAGAATCCACCCAAATGTCTACATTGTAATTCAAGGTCTTAGTCTCTCTTAATCAACATTGTGCCTTCAATTTAAATGAACTGATGAGGCTGTGAATTAAATGTACATAATGAAATTTAGTCTTCTGTAGAATCAAACTTGTTCAAAGACCTGAAAATTTAACCTTTTTGCTTTAAGAAATTAGGAAATTTTCAGGGTAATCAAAAAAGCTCTTCAGTTTTCCTCTCATGATTTAATCTGGGAATATAAAACTCTAAACTTACAATTTTTTTTCTGCAAATTATTCAGAGTTTAAGTGGTACAAATCTCAAACCAACAGGTCATGTATACCTGTATTATTTATTCTCCTCAATATTTAACTGAAGGGCTAAGAGTTTTCCCATCACTTTGCCTTCTATAGGTACTTCATTCCAGGCAATTAATAATTGAAGAAAATATTTTTTCCAGTGAATTCAATAAAACATCAGGGTCTAAATTTGTATTTGTAATGAATTTATTACTGCATTCAAACTTGACTAGAACAGAGAACCAGTGACAGGTTTGGGAAACTGAGCTTCTGTTTTCTGAAACTACTTCTGATACATAATGCTAAGTTGGTTAGAGTTTGTTTACAAAAACAAATATGAAGAGTTCTGGGATAAAGAATCAGAAGCTTACTATAATTGGATAAGTAAAGGCCAAAGAATGTTGCAGTTTGTTTTCTAGGACTCTGTCTGAAAGCACAACAATTCTCAAAAAACTCTAGAAAATTCCCACAGCGTGTCACTTTTTGCCATCAGATACACAGCACCATTCAATCTTTATGTGTTCTAGAAATACACCTGGAAGCTACTTAGGTGTTCACATTCACACATCTTGTTTGAAATAGCCTCTAGAAAGTAATGATCTCTCTTTGTTCACCTTCTAATTTCACTTGAGTGTCTCTCATTGACAGACACTAATGTAAAACTATATACTGAAGGACATTTAGTCTGATTGTGGAAGTTCAATCAGGCCAGTGGCAAAAATATTAAAGATAGTTATAGAAATAGTCACAAACCTTCTTGGAAGTCCAAGAAGTTTGCATAGCTTTAGTAAGGGTTATGGCTGAAGGCAACCTGATCTTTAGCTTGAGTAAATAGCTTAAAGTGGGTATAAAGTAATGTGGGGAAGTTACCTAGCTAGCTTGTTTACTCATGTGGTGGTAAGACTAACCTTTGATCTACGGAGGGTGCTTAATTGCTTTCTACTGGGGAAGTCCAAAATGTCAATTACCCTCTAGTGGTGTTACTCACGACCTATGTCAATTAATCTTTGCTGAGTAAATGCTACTCTTGCTGGCAAGTCGGGGGCATGGTTGCAACTGTTTACAGCACTCTGCTTGGGGTCTGTAAGTGGCCGGGACACTCAGCCCACTCAGCTGGACTGGCAAAGAACAATATCTGTGTGTCTGTGTACTTCATTCATCCATCATTTGGGTCAGGGTCTGGGGGCAGACCCCTGCATCTGACCATCTGGGTCTCCAGCTACCCATGTAGGGAAGAGCTTCTAAGTGCTGAACTGCCCCCCAAATTCTCTAAACTTATATAAGAGAGAAATAAACTTCTTTCTTATTTAAATCGCTATATTGCATTTCTTAATTATAACAGCTTAGCATGTACTCCAACCAATACAAATGACATTTTAAAATCTATTTTTACAGTTTTTAAAAAATATTTACTTTTCTTAAACTACTTGATGTTTTATACATTTGACATATTCTTGGATTCAGTTAACTCTCACTTGCTTTCCTGGCAGGTCCAGATATGGATTTGGAAGAGAGACATAGAAATATAAGCCACTTCCCTATCTTATTCTTGCACTTACTATTTTGGTTTTCTTGGACACCCTAAAGGCCCACGAGTGGGAAAGTAAATCAATTCATTATTTCTGGTAATGAATTATACAATATGCATCAAGGACCTTAGAGTGTAGCATATGTAAATACTAAGACCTACGTGAAAAACACGCAATGTATCTAAATTCAACATTATTTTAATTATAATAAATTTTAAAATCATTTGAAATCATAAGATAATGGTTAGTCAAATATTATAATAGCTCTTTGATTTAACCATTTGCTCTGTACTAAATTTTTTCTCCTCAAAATTCTTACGTTGAAGCCTTAACCTTCAGTATGACTGTATTTGCAGATATTAGGTTAAATGAGGTCATAAGAGTGCAGTTCTAATATGATAAAAATTGATGTTTTTGTAAAAGAGGAAGAGACACCAGAGAAATTTGTCTCCATGCATGCACAGAGGAAAGGTTGTATGAGATCCAGGGAGAAGGCAGCCACTTGCAAACCAAGGAGAGAAGCCTCACCAGAAACCAACCCTTTTGGCATGTTGATCTTAGACTTCCGTATTCCAGAACGGTGAGATGATAAATGTACATTGTTTGAGTCACCCATCATGTAGTATATTGTTATGGCAGCCTGACCTCACTGATAGAACATTAAAATAGAGTTATAAAACAATATTTAATAATATGAGGTGAAAAGGAGAAAATAAAATTAGTATGTGTGTGGGTGTGTATATGATGTGTATACATATGAGTATAATGTTGAATATAGAAAAGTAAATAAATACAAATACAATTTATACATTACAGAGACTTGAAAGAACTACATTGGAATAAAGAGTGTGTTTAGTAAGAGTTAACGAAAACCACTCTATTCTTTGGGAGCAAATCCATGTTTTCTGCAAGAGACACTGATGAATGTCCACTGATGAGTCACTAAACCTTATTTTTTTTTTAATTTTTATTTTTTTCAGACGGAGTCTCGCTCTGTCACCCAGGCTGGAGTGCAGTGGCGCGACCTCGGCTCACTGCAAGCTCCGCCTCCCGGGTTCACGCCATTCTCCTTCCTCAGCCTCCCGAGTAGCTGGGACCACAGGCGCCCACCACCATGCCCGGCTAATTTTTTTGGTATTTTTAGTAGAGACGGGGTTTCACCGTGTTAGCCAGGATGGTCTCGATCTCCTGACCTCGTGATCTGACCGCCTCGGCCTCCCAAAGTGCTGGGATTACAGATGTGAGCCACCGCGCCCGGCCAGTCACTAAACCTTAGCTCCATTCTGGCTAGCAGCATCTGTTGAAAGTGCTCCTGTTAATTCTGTACGATCTTTGCATAGTCTTTATAACTCTGCCTGTATCAAGTTAAGTTGCTCTGAACCTCTGAGGGTTGGAGGGAGGGTGGAGTGATGAGAGAAAGAGTTGACACTGTAAATGATCATTGAGGAGGCAGAAATTGTACACAACTCTGAATCAAAGACACTTTGAAATGAGACAGTGATAGTCTGTTACACATAGACTGCTCCCAGTAGTAAAAAAAGAGTTGCTACACAGAACATGTTTTATTTCACTTAGTTATTTAGAAATAAAATTGGACCTCATCTGACCTCCTTGGTTATTCTGCCATCTGCCCATTTTTTGTGGAGGCTGTTAATTTAGTGTATGCTTGGAGTTTCACTTTGGAAGTCTTTAAAATATATCATTCTTTTTTTAGCAATTCAGCTTTCAATTTTAAAATATGTATCATTTACTTTTCAAAAAGAAGTTTATATTACGAAGTTACTAGGGGTTACCACAGACAATGGTAGATATTTGAAATGGGCCTAAAACATGAAGATGGGTGTTTCAATGCCAACTAACAATATATTATCCCTTCTTATACCCCAAAGCAGATAAAGTTATCTTCCCACACAAATATACTAATCTTAATCTCAACCAACAGATACTTCTCTGGAGACCCGTTGTCTATTCCTCCAATAATTTATACAACATTGATCTTACTCTTTTATTTCCAATGCTAGTTGACTATCCATTGAAAACTAGTCTATGACTTTAAAGCAAACATACTAGGTTTTCTTATTGGTTGTTACATGCTTCTCAGAATTATCTGTATTGGAGTGGTTCACAAATTGGAAATCAAATATTGAGGGGATTTGTTTGTTAGTTTCTTTCAGTTTTGCTGTTTTTCTTCTTTTTGTTTGTTTAACACAGAAAGTGGTTACTATTTTCTCCAGGGGCTAAAAGGAAGGACTAGAAAGCAGATAATTATTATATTGCCTTTTTCTCTACACTTGGCTCTGCTTGATTTAGGAAATTCCTAGATCTTCATAGAGCAAGCTGATTTTGCAATTTACTTAATACACTTGCATAAATGTCTCTTACTAGGCTCTCATAAATACTAGTATCTTCAAAGAAATGCCTTAGTATTTTCAAGGAGCGGTCTTTGCAACTACTTATTTTTTGAAACTTCTGAAAGAGGTCTTTCTGTGAGTGTGTGCAAACCTAACAGGAGAAATGGAAATAAAAACTGAATGAATGGCCTTGAAAGGCCAAATAAAAAACTGAATGGCATTGAAAGATTTGTTGTTTTTGTTATGTAATTTATTATTTGATGCAATTTTCAGATAACAAGTAGTATATCATATGTAAGAAAAATAAAATGCCTATATTATGAAAAACAATGTACAGGAAACCTTGAGCCAAAAGAATAAATGTGCAAATATTCCTTCAATTTAAATGCACCAGTTCAAAGTAAGGCCGAGATTGGTTTAATCTAATGTTTATTGTTAAATCATGAAAAAAAAAGCACCAATGAATGCAAATACTACTGAACATATACCAGTCATGGTGATTGAAAAAAACACAAAACCTAAAATTAGAATTACATAACATTCATTTCAAATCTTGCAAGGTGTTTTCCTCACGTGTATTTGATGTTAAAGAACCTAAGGATTTCTGAGATTTATCAAAGTAGAGTTACCGAGGATAAATCTAATGTTCATAGGTAGTGTCGTAGTTACCAAGGATAAATCTAATGTTCATAGGTAGTGTCATAGTTACCGAGGAGAAATCTAATGTTCATAGATAGTGTCATAGGTTTCTGTCTTCATAGTTGATTTATGTGGTGACTGAGATTCGTATTATAAGCAGCTCATGAATTGGACAGTTACCATCTCCTGTACCCTCACTATTCAGCTACTTTCATATTTCATAATCTTCTCCCTGGCTGAAGAACAATGTGGAAATCCATACTTACCACTGACTGGTCATCATGAATGGGGTAATTCCGTTACTGCTTCTCTTGTTTTAGACGTGGCCAGAGCTATCATGTAGATAAATATGCCAATACGCCTAACTGAATAATGTTTTAGCAGACTGTGTAGGCACTTTTGAGAATACCACAGAAAAGGTTATAAACCTATTTGGTTTTTCTCCAACCTATCTGTAAAAATAGGATAATCTTTATAACAATACAGCTAGGCTAACTATTTGAAAATAATTACATTTGGACCCATTCTCACAAATATCACTTCCAACAGAAATAGTATAAAGATTAAGACTCAAGTGATTGACATTCTTCTCCCATCTGATCACTAAACAGCTAGGAACATTAAGTTCTGGCAAGTGCAAATTTGCTTATATTTGAAACAAGGCTAAGACTCTATGCTTTGGGGATTTAACTGAACTGACTTTGATTTCAGGCTATACTGTTAACATTGTGAGTTTAGTTACTCAGTCACTTTGTCTTTACCTCCTTACATTATAAAAAGTAATAGCATAACTGTGTCATCAGTTTCTTAAAGTTGAAAGGGAATAAATGAATTAATCTATGTCACAAACCAGGAATTTGGCAAATCTTTAATCAATAATGATTATTTTATTCTGTTCTTTAATAGATGTTTCATATGAATATAAAAGAAAATTAACTTGTGGAAGTATTTTACAAAAGTAAAAAACTATAGAAACAATGGATTTTTTTTTTACAATCACCAGCATCCACATGTTGTAAAAGAAAGCATTTAATAGAATCTATAAAAATATTTTTGCCTTTCATTTTTCCCAATTTTTATTTTAAACAGTTGCAGGAATAATAAAATAGCAAAATAGCAATCTGTGTACTCCTCATCAACATTCACTGACTGTTAACCTTTCCTTTTCGCTCTCTGCCTCTTCTGCACATACATCATTTGGGAATGAAACATATGAGAATTATGTGTAGGTATGATAGCACTGCACCCCTAAATATTTTAGCATTTATCATTATGAAAACAAGGACTATCTCCTACCTGGCTGTATTGAAATTCTTACACACAGGAATTTTAACCTTGATACAATATCAGCATATCCAATGCCTTTTACTATTGCTTATTTTCAAGAATTCATTTAATTGTCACGTATTGCTGGGTCCGACCCGCAGACCCTGACTGAGCAACAGATGAAAAAAGCACTCAGACACATCTTTCTACAATTTTTCCCACCATCCTGACCAATCTCCTACAATGTATTATAAATTATTTTACATAAGCTTTAAGTAAGATTCGTAATTGCTTAGCTGATACAAATTTTTAGACAAAATCTGTAGGAGTTGATAAGAGGGTAAATTCTTCTAATTATTAGTCATGATTTCTAGGGCAAGCAAACCATGTTATTTTATAAATTTTTTTAAAAATAAAAATTTCATTATAAAGCAATAATAAATTTTCAGGTATGTTAAGCAATATGAACAAACATTTATACAATGGCAATTACTGTCAAAATGTAAGCCATGCATGACAAGTTATGATTGATCATGAGATCTAATGTGGCTTAATAAAGATATGCAGCTCAATACATACAGTGAACTCTTATTTAAAATGAACATTATTGGTTTGTATAGTAATCCCCAATAATTATCGCTCATATTCATCATTTTGTTTTTAAATCTCTGGAGTCATCATAAACCAAATAGAAATTGTCAAATTAAATGGTGTTTAGTTCATTAGACCAAGAATATACTAAGATAGCACTAGTCAAATCGTTTTTCACATACAAAAGCAAAAGTATAATCTAAATTAGTACCTTCATGCTGAATCTACCTTTATTTAACTTTAGTACCTTTTTATTAAAACAGGTATGTAAGATATATGCTTTTAAAACATCATTTGTATATGTTCTAAGAGTCATTTTCTTTTAATATTTCTTCTGGGGTAAGCAAACTGGTTGGGAGAGAGAAAAACGTTCAGAAAGTTCATTCCCTACTGAAATGTATGAAACTGTAAAAAACAGGTCACCTAAAGCCAATAGCAAAGGAAATACTGTTGATTATTACCCATGTAAGTATCCCAGGGTAGTAGAAGATGTCTCAGAAATGCTAATCTTACCAATGTTTATATAAGGGCTATATGACCTGCTATATTGGTTTTTAGTTTGAATTTCCATTATTTTATTGTTTTGTGTAATTCTTTCACTTACATGTCAATTAATTTGTATTTGTTCTATATGCAATTTCTTAAAACAAAATAATTCCATGGGTTTCCAGTTTAATATTTAATATTTTGGTAATTATAGATAAACCTCAACTTGTACATCATGTAAATGTTGAAAATCATGACAAGCAAATAAAAAACCCAAAGTATTATAATTGCATTGAATAGCAGTGGCATGTTCTCAAAAACTTGCATGTTATTTTAATCCATAAAAAGGTACAGAGTCATTATATTTTATTACAAGTTGTATTGCCTATCAAATTATCACTATGCTATTTGATTTGGTGTATTTTGCTTACCTATATTTTTGTCTGAATTTTTGTTGCTATTATTATTATTTTTTCTGGTTCTATCTGCTTTTTGTTGGTGTTTTTGTTTTTCTTTCCATTGAAAACTTTCTGTACATAGTGAGATACATGAACAATCATAGTGCATGAATTTTATCATATAAAACTTCTGCCACTATAAAATACATACTTTTATTTTATACTCATTTTTAAAATTTGAAGGAAGTGGCTAACTGGCTACATCAGGAAAGAACATGGAAGTTATTCTGGTAAGAATTTGTGAGCATTATTTCTATGTCAGTCACTAAGATAACTTCTAATATAACCAGGAGTCCCCAAATTATAGGAAAAATAATTAACAATTACAGCAATATGATAATTCTATAATAAAGATATCATAAGGTGCTTTGGGTTTTTTCCTCTGCTGGGGTTATACAGTAAGGATTTACTGAAATATTTTTATATGCATTAGTTGAAGTTTATATATAAATCCTGCATCACAAATAATATAACCTAATTGAAATAATGATTTATGTGCATATAACAATTTACTGTTTTGTTTAATCCTTTTTTTTCAGAAATGTGAATAGTATATTTTAGACACGAGCAAAAGATATAATTTTGATGTAATGGGAATGTTAATAGATTACATATATATGAATGAATAAGGGATAAGTGATGAAAAAGGAGTCATATGATAAGTCTATTTCTGCCAGCTTAATGGGTGCCTGGGCCTTGAGGCCTCTATATATTATGAACCTAGATCAAATGATAAATCGTGAGAATAACTACCAAACTCAGAGGATGATGTTTGACTAATTTATCCTAAAACTACTTTGAATTATTTACATACACATGAGTATTAGTTTCATGGGGGCATTGCTCCCTTGACTCATTCAGGATAATTGTTCAATAAGTGCTTTGCCTAAAATATCTTTATTCCTCAATATGAATAACATTTTGTTATCCAGTCTTTCATGAAGTGTGCAGTGAATGGCTGTCACATTAATAAAGGAGGCCATATAATAAAATAAATGAGTAGTTATAGGCAGACTTCAAAAGAGAAATGTTTAAATTAATACTAGTAAAATATTGCACAAATTTGGCATATTAAATAGAAAAGAAGTGATATTAACTGTGTGTAAAATTATGACCTCACTCTTTTCTTTTGATTTTAAGTCTACCTTGCAAAAAATGTTAATTCACTATGGTTTCCTAATCTATCAACAATTTCCCGTGCAAAATCTATTCTTTACTTGTGAGAAATGTTTTACTGAGCTGTAATGATAGCATAGACACAATTTTGATATATTAAAATTATTCATCTCATTTGCTACATAAACTTCATAATGATAATGTTTAACAAAGTACACATAACAAGTATAACTAGCCATAATCTTATATCTAGTCACATACTCAAATTATAGGTATCACTATATATCACCCAGATGCATTATTTAAAATATAATATTGAAATAATATCTAATAGTCATTGCACTCATAGTTTTCTTCAGAGTTTATAGCCATCATAATTATTTTTTCTACATCTGAATTTAAACAACTTTTCTTCACATAACTACAATCAGCCTTAATGTTTTATCCATGGGTGACTTTGAATGGCTGCTTATATTGATCTTCATTATCAAGTGTCATTCTTGCTTCACTCTTACATACATATAAATAAATTGCATATACAGTTTCAATCATGTTGAACCAGAAAGTTTGATTTTTTTTTCCATTTCTAGTGATGTGAAAAATTAATGTCAATAAAACCTAAATAAACCTGGACTTTGGACTACTCTATTTTCAATGATGCAAAACTCGAAAGCCTGTCATATTTTTTTTATTTCCCAATAAACATTTAAGGGAGTAAGGTGTTTTTAACTTAAAAAGTCAGTTTTAATAAAAGCAAAACTTTGAAAGGAAACGCAAGTACATACCTGTGACATATACAAACACATATACCCCTTGGTTCATTATGCCCCAGCCCCATACCATATGACCTAATTACTGTTCTTTTGGCATACCATGAGGAACCATAGTTACAGAGAGATACCCACTTATGAATGATAAGCAATTCAAAATTTTAGTTTCGAAATTATGTTCTTCAACCAGAGATTTCAGTTTTTAACTTTTGAAAGTCAATAGAAGCTTAAAGGATTATTCAAACATGTAACTCCTAACAAAAAGAGAACCAGATCCTTAAGAGGTTTTATCTAAATTATAAAGCAGGAAATTTAGGATGTAGAATTTAGGTCTTTTTTTTTTCTGAACTGGCTCAGAATTTTCCTGTACACCCCTGAAAACCATCCCTTGGAGCCCTAAGAAGATACATCAGGGCAGGTTCACATCTCTAAATCATGGACAATCTGGTAGGCTGATTAAATACTATATTGGTTCTTAATGCTAGTAGATAAGAGGGGCAAGCCCAGGTTGAATTATAAAGTTCAAAATCATTTATAAAATGTCATCACCCAGAGCATTTACTTATCCATAATACCAAAAAGCAATTAACATTCACAGCTTAAACATCAAAGGATAAGCTATCTTTACTCCCACTAGAAAAAAGAACTATTAGAGATCCACATCCCTCCAAAAAGACTTTCATGGATTTGTGATTTTAAGACACACTTTTCACATTAAAATCCTCTTAAAATTTAGTCACACTTTCCCTTTAAGATTTGACATTTGTGTTTTTGTTCTGTAATGACTTCTCAATCTCTTTCAGCATTAATTTTTAATAAATAGTGCTGGTATAAATTATATTTTTCATCAAATAAACACAATTCTGGTTGCCTTATAATTAAGTTTCATGTAATCATCTCTCAGTAAAATTGCAATTGCTACTAAAATATTATTTTTTCTAACACCATCATTATGGAGAAATAATTAATAAGTACTTTTATAGATACCAACTCAAAAAACAGGTTAGGACATGATTTAAAACATGAATATTTGGATTTCCTGGAGGAAAGATAAAAGAATAAGTAGCTAAGCAGGGATCTATGTAAAATATAAATCTGCAGGTCCTAATTGTCTTGTTTGCCCTCTAATTATGCTCAAGCCTCAGGGGAAGATCAGTTTCAGGCAAGAGTGCAAATAGGATTTCTTTTTATCCTAATCACACATATTCTTTTTATCATCTCCTTTCTCCTTTCTTTTTTCTCTTTTATGCCCTAGATTTCCACAGAACTGACCCCTTCTAATAATTGTATTCCAAATATCCCCATTTCTACTCCTGCAACTCCAGGGCAATTTCCCTCCCACTATCTCTAAGAAACTGCTTTATCTAAAATCAACTCATATCAATCTAGTGACCTAACCTGTCTCTCTCTCTCTGTGTCTCTACAGTGTTTTTGTCTTCTAGTTCTTGAGGGGTGGGGCTGAGGTAAAAGAGTAGGGCTGTATGGCAGATTTTTTATATCACCCTAAATATCAGAGAAACAATTGCCTATATTATCCATATAGAATCTGCACTTTCTAGCTACAATAAATCTTGTTTTTTTTTGTACATTTCAGGACCAATTAATGTAAAAGATACAAGTAATATTATCAATCAAGTAATATTTATTTCATGGATATCATTTAAATTCTGATTCTTCTAGTGGACAAGAAAAACAGTCTATGTGTAGTAAAAATAAAGGGCTTTTAAAATTACCATTTGTCACCAATTATCTTACCAACTTTGAATAAAATTCAATACCTATTTTTAAATATCAAGAAAAGAATATACTCATGGTTATGTGCATAGGGGTGTGTGTATATTGTGACTGTTATTTCAAAATCATACTTTTTGTTACTACAGACTGAGGAAGAAAGTATTGTAAAAACACAAATTTCATTAAGTAACTCATTTAATACATTATTATATAAGTATTTATATGTATGATTATATATATATTGCCTCTGGAAATTACACTTAATAAATATGTACAAAATATTTGTTAAACATTCATGTGAGAGAATAGAATATTTTCTGAAAAATTAAAAAAATATATTTTCTAGAAAGAAGAGTCTTCAAAATAGTTATTTCAAATCAGGATATGCCATCTTTACTAAGAAAAGATTTATGTTCAGCTAAACTCATTTTGTTTCCTCATGAATAAATATGGAATTATTCCTTGGAACATCTAGGAAAGCAGTGAAAATCCTTCTGCCATTGTGGATAAAATACAAGAAACAGTAGGAAAAAAATCAAAACAAAATATGTTTTATGTTTCACTATTTTTGCAAGTTAAATGAATATTTTCACAGTATTCATAATTATAAGATATTGAAGATTATTGTGGCTGTGCAGTAATTTACTCAAGTGCCTAACAACAGCATAGAAACTACAAAATCCAAAGAACTGACAAACTCACTAGTTAGTACAACAGCAACAATAACAAGGCAATTATTAGATCCCGAAATGTGTATTTTTAAAAACAGACCCCCATATAGCAAAGACAGAGTAGCAATAGTATTCTATTTCTGGATGGGTTGCTTAACTGAAATTTTCAACTCATTTTACTTCTCTGAGTTACTACATCTTTAAATATAATAATCTTTACAAAGACATAAATTTACAGGCCTAATATAAAAACAAGTTGTCCACTTAGCAGCATTCATAATTAGGAATTAAAATTTTAAGAGCACCATGTGATACAGGCTACAATTGAGTTATGTGCATGATGTGGTTAGAGCCCTGAGGAAGGGGAGTGCTAATGGACTGAATTGCATCCCCCCAGTATTAGACAAAGCTCTAATCCCTATTGTAACTGTATTTGGGGACGCGGTCTATAAAGAGGTGATTAAGTGGTGTATTAAGGATGGACCCTGATCCAACAGGATTTGTGTCCTCATAAGAGAACAGAGAGCTTGTGTGCTGCCTCTCCCCACTCCCAGTGGAAGGACATGGTAAGGAAGTGGCTGTGCGCAAGCCAGAAATAGAGGCCTCTGGGACTTCTAGCCTCCAGAACTTTGAGCAAATACATTTCTGTTAAGCTAAAAAAAATTAATAAAAATCATAGATTTGTCTGCTTCTACACAAATATGTAATGACATAAAAGTAACAGTAATATTAGCTATGCTTTCAATTACCAAGCATTACAAAACAATATATGTTTTTCTCACTAATTCCAAAAATTTAATAAACAGGAAAGAAAGTTAAAGTCACTGCTGGATACAGTTACAGTAAAGGAAATAATGAATGGATCTTACACTGCAAGCTGTAGTTTCACCAGATTTAGTGTTCTGCAAAATTAGTTCTAGGGTTTTGACACATGGTATAAATTTGTGTCATATTGAGACCGTGAGAACTCAGTATTGCTTCCTGCATGCTATTGTAAGAGGCTTTTAGGATT
The DNA here is from genome assembly GCF_000001405.40 of Homo sapiens. Classification (NCBI taxonomy): domain Eukaryota; kingdom Metazoa; phylum Chordata; class Mammalia; order Primates; family Hominidae; genus Homo; species Homo sapiens. The sequence goes on along the minus strand of NC_000003.12, from coordinate 162,557,770 downwards.
ATTTTGACCCTCTGAAATTTGTTTTTAACTCCCAGTGGAGTTTGGGAGAAAGAGTCGAAGTAATCCTGACTGAAGGCAATGCACCCCATGTTCTCCAGGTTCATTTTGAAGTTTTAAAATTTCCATGATGAAGTGAGATGCTCCCTGGTATTTGTCAATTACAGTTTGAAAAGCTTTTGGTTCTGACCTGTAGGTTGTAAATTTACTATTGATGGGCCAGAAGTGAAATGTCTTAAAACTCGAAGGTGTTTAAAGATTTACTTGGGCCTGAAAGGAGCCTTAAAACTCTTACATTGCCAGCAAAAAGGATCCAAGAAACTATGGCAGCAGGCACATGGATTGAAAAAATTATTTCCTCGATAGACTAATTACTGGACCCTTTTGCCACCTGTTCCATGAAGCATTTTCCAGTTTCCTGGGTCAGAATGAATTGCTTCCTCCTCTCTGCTTCAATAGCACTTTGAGCAGGCTCATATGCCTCTTATTTATTGTATACTTCGTTGCATACACATTTGTTTCTTTCAACAGATTATAAATTTCTCGAATGTAGATAACGGTTTATTAATCTCTGTACCTCTTGTGTCTAGATAATGTCTAACACTTAATAGTAACTCAATAAACATTGTGTGACTTAAGGTGAATTTCAGAAGACATTCTGACAAGGATAAAGAAAAGAGAATTGCTGTTATTCTCAATGAGTTTAAGAGTTGCTACGACATCAGAGATAGCAAGCATATTTTAATTTTACTACATTTACCAAACAGCAAAACAACAAAGAAGAAAACTAAAAATTAAAGAAAAAATGGATGGAGAATTTACAATCAATTAAACCTAACTGAGCAAGTGTTTTGAAAGATAGGTGGTCAGTCCAATCTACTAAAAAAACGGTGGTGGTCCATTTGAAAATTTACATGGAGATAATGTCAAAGAGCATATGATAACAGTAAAGAGTAATCACATGGTTAGGCTTGGTAGTAGTAACTTGGAATTTAAATTTCTGGGAGAGTACAGTACTTTATCTGGAAGATAAAGTAATAATTTAAGCTACTGTAATTTATGAAAATAAAAAGTAAAAGATACATTTTTAGTTTTCGTCTACATGGTTTTACACATGTGATTTCCCTTGTACTAATTTCTACTTCATGAAGTCCCTTTGAGTTAAATAGAGCAAGTATTATTTCCATAATATAAATTTATTTTTAATGTGGTTTAGTGAGACTTAATAACTTTCCAATATTACATACTCCTGCAAGATCCATTAGGATGAAAACACTTTCTCTTTGACTCATTTATATATTCTCAGCACCAAATAACGTGATAATATGGCTTGACATATTGTAAGTATTTGTCATATCACTCAATACAGTTGTGTCAGTTTCAGAACTCAAAACAAAATACACTATTTCCAAACTCAGTGTTATTACTTTAAGCAATAGAGAACAGCATTAAAAAAATAAATAAAATCTAAGAAATACTTTATTTCTTTAGGTATAGGATGATTTCATAACCAGGGTAAATCAACGAGGTTATGTCTAGACTACTCCAAATATGGAAAAATTCCAATGCCTCTTATTTTCTAAAAAAACATCAAATAGGGTATACATTCCACAGGATATAAGTTTTTATATCTCGATTTTGTCATATTCAGGACACAAAATTAGGTGCCATCTACCAAGAAAATTCTACAAAATTGGAAGGAGTCACAGAATAGCTTTGTGTTCTTAGAATCTATTAAACTAGATTTTATCCTAGAAAAACAGAAAACTAGGGAGATGTCAAAGTGATTGCTTCCTTATGCTTATTCTAGTCTACTTGGAATAAAACCAAAGGACGCAAATTTTAGAGGTAGCTCAAAAAGCAGTTGCCTAGTAAAAGCAGGTGATAAACTTCACTGCAGAGACTCATTTGCAATCCATGGCACATGGGATTTTGCAGGAAAACAAAACAAACAAAGGTTAAGCTGAAGAATACGAAGTAAAAAACTAACAAAATATGTTTAAAAAAAGGAAATAATTAAAGAATACCAAAGATGACAGCATCAGTACACCCCCATAAGTAGATGTAACAGAAAAAATTTTAAAAGTTACATAATATGTACATTTAAAAATGTTAGTTATTAATTAATAGAAACCACAATGAAAATGTTCTTCAGAAATATCCAAGTAAAAAAAAAATTAAGAAACAAAACAACATACTTAGGTAAATTAACTTAAGTGCTAATGAGTAGGATAAGCAGCTAATTAAAAACATAGGAAAAGAAAAAATCAGAATCTCATCTTCAGGCAATGATGCACTAGTAAATTTACATAAAGTCTACTGAGAATAATTAGAAAAAACTATACTTAACAACAACAAAAAAAAGCTTGTAAGTATTATACAGCCAGGGTAAAGGAGACAACCCAAACAGAAGAAAACTTCACCTTGAGTTTGAGGGATGTTTTTTCCTTTGGGCTGTGTGATGATCACAGCTGAGAATTCACTGGAAATATAAGAAAAGGAACAAAGGGCTGAGCATGGTGGCTCATGCCTGTAAACCCAGGACTATGGGAGGCAAGGCAGGTGAATCACGAGGTCAGGAATTCGAGACCAGCTTGGCCAATATGGTAAAACCCCGTCTTTACTAAAAATAAAAAATTAACTGGGTGTGGTGGTGTGCTTCTGTAGTCCCAGCTGCTCAGGAGGCTGACGCAGGATAATCTCTTGAACCTGGGAGGCAAGGTTGCAGTTAACCAAGATCATGCCACTGCATTCCAGCCTGGGAAACAGAGCGAGACTCCATTTCAAACAAACAAACAAAAGGAACAAAGTTGTAATAGCCTTTTGCTTTACTGGCTTGACAACTAGAGTTATGGCATGCATCTAATGATGCAGAGATGCAGAGAAAGACAGATGTAGTACTACTGAAACCACTGGGAAGTTGACAGTTCAAGGTAACAAGAAATGTAAATGGGAAACATATCCTGGCCATTTTAGTAACTAATACCATTTGCAGGTAGTCACAAACACAGACTATGGATGCAATGATCTGGAATTATTAATGCTCTCAATCACTTGCTAAGAGTAAGAGAAAAGCAAATGAATGTACAAACATTAGTTGCATATTTTAACATATTTGTCTTAAAAACTAATACTAACAGAAACTAATAGATTTTGCTTGTTCAAAACTGAAGATTTGAACAAGGTGACTAAAATCTGGGCATAATTGATAATAAATGCCAAAACTGCAAATTTTATGTCAAGATCAAACTCAACATTTAACATCATTTAAGGTTTGTTAGAGTATAAATAAACATGATATAAATGTCAGAAGACTGAACTTATACAGGATATATTCCCTGTCACCAGTAGAAATAAGGTCAAAATGAACAATAAAAAGGTAACTTAAAGATACCCATATGTTTGGAAATGAACAAAAGGAAAAACAAAAAAACAGAAACATTTGTAAATCCATGGGTCAAAGAGAAATATCATAAACAGAGGCTGATTTGAGTAATAATAAAGCTCCAGTCTTCCACACAGCTGGCTCTTCATGAATTACTCTTTCTCTGTTGCAATTTCCCTGTCTTGATAAATAGGTTCTGTCTAGGCAGCAGGCAAGGTGAACCCAGTGGGTGGTTACAAATTTGGGGGTTCCTCCAGGGTTGCCCTTGTGGCTACCTGCCCATGGTTTGGTAGCCCCCATACAGTGACAGATCCAGAGGCCAGCCCAAGTGGCCACCTAGTTCTCTTGGACTGGGGGCTGACGCTGGTCCAGTGTCTTCTGGCAAGGCGCTGCCCACCCAATGTGCATGGACTTAATTGCAACAGAGAAATGGACTTGGGGAGACATCCCACAACTGTAGTTCCATGGTGGGGTATCTATCTATAGCCCCATGATGAGGTGTCTATCTGTAGCTCTACCACGGGGTGTCTGTCTGTAGCCCCATTATGGAATGTCTGTCTGTAGCCCCAGCCACCATGGAGTGGCTATACCTGTAGTCCTAATATGGTTTGGTTCTGTGTCCCCACCCAAATTTCATCTCAAATTGTAATCCCCATGTGTCAAGGGTGGGACCTGTAATCCTCATGTGTTGAGGGAGGGAGGTGATTGGATCATAAGGTCGGTTTCCCCCATGCTTTTCTGTTGATAATGAGTGAGTTCTCACAAGATCTGATGATTTTATAAGTGACAGTTTCTCCTTCACATGCTCTTCCCTCTCCTGCTGCCTTGTGAACCTCTTTTCCTCTAAAAATTACCCAGTTTCAGGAAAGTTTTTTATAGCAGCATGAGAATGGACTAATACAAGCTCTTTTACCAGGTGTCTGATTTGGTAAGTATTCTAGGTGCTGCTAACACCTCCTTCCTTCCCCCAGTTGGTTCAGCTCCTTTGGGGGTCTCAGTTGGCTCTCCCTAATTAGTAGGAAGAGTCTTCTCCTCAGTTGGAAAGATTTGGGGGAGATTTTTTAGACAGAGAATAGGAGGTTAGTCTGGAAGGAATAATCTTGGAATTCTTGATTAGGGATCTTGATTTGGAAGGCCTTCTGTCCCTCTTGTTCTTGTTTGTGTGTTTGTGTTTGTGGAAGGGATCTCTGAAGGAATTGCTGACAGAAGCCCATCAGGCCTAATTTGGAGAACGCTCTGTAAGTCTGATCACATTCAGTAAGCCCTAAAAAAACCTTAAAAGGACTGATGTGTGGTAACTATTCTTCATCTTGCCTGGAGACCATCCATTGAATTCCTGGTGAGAGTCATCCTTCCCCACCTTCAGTGAATCAAGTATGACAGGAACTACCGGGAGAAAGTTTGAGCCTTGCCAGGTGCATGTTGGGTGCTGAATGATATGACTAGTGTCTGTTTTGTTATGTGTATTTTGCTTTGTCTGAGATGGAAAATGCTAATTTGGCTCCGTATGCAGCCCATTGGGCAACATCTTGCAAAATTGAGAAGCTTTTGCCTATGGATCCATAAAACAGAAAAGGATGATTTTCTTTTGTAATGGGGCTTGACCCACACAGCTATGGTACAGTGAGCAGAGTCATCAAAGTGACTCTGTTCTTCTGGAAGCTGCAGAGAAAGGGAACCCAGAAACCTGGTAGTCCAGCAGAAAGGGTAAGAATTTCTTACCAGCCAAGTTGCTAACCATTCTTTCTCTGTCTCTCTCTCTCTCTCTCTTTGTCTCTGTGTGTGTTCGTGTTTAAATGGTAAACATCACTGTTTGTCTCCTCTGCAAGGGTTTGATTATTAGAAAAAAGGATTTGGTGAGACTAGTCTTATGGTGTAGCAAATCTGGTGTACTTTGTGCAAAGAGTTTGTTTTTTTCTGTGTTCTTTGATGGAGAGAGGGATATCACAGGATAGCATGCAGGTTGAGGACCCTTATAAGCCTGCTTTTCAAGCCAGCATATTAGGCTGGTTAGTTACAAACTTTGCTGCATTTCCCTGAAACCAATACTGAATGAAATTTCTGTGTTGCTTTGTGTCCTTAAGAGCTTAACCTTGTGACCATGTGGGACACTTTCTCTTGGTTGCCATCATCCACCAGAAGATGGGAATTGCCACCAGAAGACTAGAATTTTGAGTTTGTATCATGGTTAGCCCTAAAAATTCTTGGGCAGTTAAAAGCCTTTGCAAATTGTCTGCTCTAGACTCCTTCTGGGAACAGCAAAAGAAACTGCTCAGTGCTATTTAGCTTAGTAGTTAAGGCTTTGTCCTTTGACCATGGCAGCCCAGGTTCAATTCTTGGCTTCAGGATTGATTTCTTTCTGGTTTGTTATTTGTGTAACTTTGCCATTTACTGATATTTTTTCTTCCCCTCATGGATAGCTTCTGATATCCTGTCTTTATTTTTCCTTTCCCGAACTACCTTTGGGGAGATTCTAATTCTTTTAAAAAGAAACTGCTTACCATCACTTTGAGACATCTTATGCGTTCATGGTTAAGTTACAACCTTATTTAACACTTTTTATTAATTTAATGTAGGTTGTTACCTGTGGTAGAAGTCAAAAGCCAGAAATATTGGCTTTCCTGGCTGGAGTCTGGTAATAAGATTTAAAAAGACTTTTTTTTTTTTTTTAAAGAGCTCTATGGTTAAAATCAGCAAATCAGCTTAATTAAAAATAGATATCTAAGCATATATACTTAAAAGGCCTTTATCTTTTTCTTCTTCTTGAATCGTCTTTTTCTAAAAAAAGTTTTTTTCTTCTCAGTCAACTGAATTGTTTTTCTCTTTGTTGTCTTCTTGTCACTCTGATGCCCACATGAGAGAACCTAAGATAAATTCCAACATCCTAGAACTCCTGGGGAGAAACAGAGGAGGAACCACAGATCCTATCCTGAGAAAAGCCTGATTTCCTCATGAAACATCAGGAATTGAAAGTGGATTGATCCCTCTCAAAATCTAAGGCTGTTCTATTTTGTATTGTGTTAGCTGACAGTTTTGACGTTTGTGGGTATCAGAAACTACTTTGCATTATGAGAGAACTTTGGTAACAAATAAGTAGGAAATATTATTTAGAGGATGGGTAATGGCAGTTATGGGGGAATAGTCAGCTCTTCGATGCTTGGATTAGAGAAGCATGCTCCTGGCTACCCAGAAGATATGGAAACATCACTATACCCACTGAGAGATGAGACCTTCATGGGGGATGGGCTGATTTACAAAATGGGTTGATTGGCTTGGGGTTGCCTTGCATTGAAATGCATAGTAAAACCATTGCACTGTCTTCTCCCACTGCATTTCCCTCATTTGGGTGATACAGGATGTGATATAAAAATGGGACCATTAATGCTGGGGATCTGTTTTTGCCTTCCAGCTGTGCCTGCTTATTAGTTCCTAGAAACTTCATGCTTTCCTGGCATAACCAAGGACTCCACCTTAAAGCTAGTAATCCAATTAAAAAACTGGCACATAAAAAATCTTACAACTACTGAATCTTTTCTCTGTCTATGTATCTATATGTGTTGTGGGTGAGCTCTGATTGTCTTAGAAAATAAACACAAGAAAATAGAAACTTTTTAATGTCTTTTTGTTCCTTGACTTTAGCAATCTCTTGGAAATAAAGACAGTTTTAAAGATTATTGTTAAAACAACAATGTCTTCAACATTTAGACATTTGCTTTAAATTAGGTAAGATATTAGGTTTGCTAAATGCTTGAAGGTCATAAACTGCTTCTTTGACTTTTGAAAATTGTTTCACTTACCTAAGGTCTGAGGACATGTGGAGTTAACCATGCCCCCTAGCTATGCTGAAAAAAGTCAGACTTTATCTGCACTTCTATCTGATGTCATAGGCTCCACACCTTGTACATAATTAAAACAATATCACTTACCAGGTTTTTCACCAAAAAATGAAAATTGCTAAAAGTTAACAATGTAACATGTACTCGGGACTACTGAAAAAACATTTTTATATGCACGATTGCAAAGTATAGAAGAAAGGAGAATATAGATTTTGTGTGAGATTATAAGAAGACATGAGAATATGGTTTTTGTTAAAGGGAATGTAATTTTGTCTAGTTCAGAGAGTTTTAAAGATCGTCTTAACCTAAAAGAGTAATGGGACATAACTGAAGGTTTAAGCAAATTGAAAAGTTTTTGTGAAGGGTGGATCTTGTAAAGAAAGTTTTGTGGGTATGAGCAAGTTGGCTAAGATTTAAAGGGGATTTTTTTTTCATAGGTTGAATATTAAAATTAAAAACACACTTATATAGGGCCAGAATCTCGGCCTATGTGTCCAAATAACATAGCTTTCTTAGAAAATTAATCTGCTGTTTAATGAAAAATTGTAAAGGGTTCTAAAAAGTTCATACAAATCTTATGCTATGGTCAAAGTAAATTAAAGCTGAATAGATTAATAAATTTTATTAAAAACTAGCTTCAGCATTTGACAAGATTTGGCTCTGTGTCCCCACCCAAATCTCATCTTGAATTGTAACCTCCATCTGTCAGGGGAGGGACCTGGTAGGAGTGATTGGATCATGAGGGCGGTTTCCTCCATGCTGTTTTCCTGATAGTGAGTAAGTTCTCAGAAGATCTGATGGTGTTTAAAAGTGTTTGGCAGTTCCCTCCTTGCTTGCTTGCTCTCCTGCCACCTTGTAAAGAAGGTGCTTGCTTCTCCTTCACATTCCACCATGAGTGCATGTTTTCTGAGGCCTTTCTAGCCATGCAGAACTGTGAGCCAATTAAACCTTTCCATATAAATTACCCAGTCTCAGGTAGTTCTTTATATCAGTATTAAAATGGACTAATACAGCATTAAAGATGCACTAATGCAAATATGAAATTAGGTTTTCTCTTTTGAAAAACATTTTTATGTAATATTAAAAAAAAAAGGATTTTGTTTGCCCCTTTGGATAAATGGCAGGAGAAAAGGGATAAGAGAGAAAAGAGACAGATTCAGCTTGCCTCATGCTATCCTCATTGGGTCTTATTGTTTGGAAAATTAAGTCCCCTCTATCACAGTAAAGATTTTTCCTTTTATAAAATTTTGGAGTTATTATTTTGACCATATGAATGATTTATGGTGACCTGAGATTCTATTTTGTGACATCTAGTGTTTTAAACCTTTGATATTTGAAAAATTTTCCAAAATCAAATTATAATGTATGTCTTTTTCTAACCTAATTATGCTTTTAGATATTAGGTCCCCTGAAGTCCAAAAATGACATATTTGGCCTATTTGATATAAAAATCATACAAGAAGCATTTTCAAATGTGAAATAGCATTTGGCTTTCCTTGGGCTGTATTTGTATAAATATGTTATCAGTATGTATTCCATAATTATGGGAAACTTCTATAATTCTGATATGATTGAGTGTACATTATTAATAATTATAATTGTCGTGTAAAATTGTTGTATGCTACAGAAGTAACAAATTCCTAGTCTATTGTAGGTTTTTTAGTGGCTCTCCTAAGACTTTTGTCTCAGACAATTTTGTCGTGCTTTGATTCTTTTCAGAAGGCAGTTTATAATCAGATGTAGGACTCTGATGGGTACTCTTAAATGCAGATCTCTGATAACTTTAAAAATTGTGCTATTAGAATAGAGGAGAAAACAAAACTTCTAGGACTGTCGTGAAGAGGGGATGTGTTAAACATTGCTAACCTTTTTGCCTTCAGAGTCAAGAAAATTTATTTCTTTTGCGCTATTTACTTTTACTAAGTGAAAATAGTATACTCCTGGGAGCAAAATTTGGAACATATTGCTTTCCCTCTACCTGATTTCTCCAGAATTTAGAAACTGTTTGTGAGTATTCTCAACTTATGGCTGTATAGTTATTTGCATAAGTGCAATAAGAATCTGTTTTCTTTTGTAATACATCACAATTAGAGAAACTGGTTATTTTACCAAGGCTTTGATTGGAATGGCATGCTTTCTTTAAATAAACAAATTTGACTTCTAGAGCCAATAAAAGCCCCTTGGAAAATCTGGCCTAATACCTTGTCTACACAAACCCAGTACGAGTTTCCTGATCTGTGGTAAGTAAAGAATGTCGCTTTCTGATAGGCCCAGGGCCCCCAAGTTATTTTGGGATGTCTAGGTGAGAAATTCACAGGTATTTGCAAGCATAGATAAATCCTTGGCTGGGCTTCGAGGCTTCTAAAAAAGTACAATTTTAGATTCCTTATGGAACAAAATTTCAGCAAAGTCAATATTAAAATCAGTCTATATGGAAAATAATTATTTCTACTTCTCTTTATGCAAATAATCAGGCAGAGCATGTTAAGATTAAAACAAATTTTACAAGTAAATTTGACCTACCTTAATTTATTTTCAATAAAAATGGAAACTAGAGAGAAAAATTATGCTTAAAAAAATCCATAATACACCTGTTGTTAGTTGTTCTTGAGTTTTTCTATTTTTCTGAAGTTTGGAGTAAATCCTAAATTTTTTGTGGGCTACAAATCTCCTAACTAATGTTTCAAATCTTTACTTTTAAAACTTGGAATTTCACTCCTTATCCAAGAACTCATTATTTACCTTATAGTATGCTGTTTCCTTAAATGCTGTACTAAAACTATAGATAAGAATACTACTGCCTTTGTCATGCAAGCCTTGGAACCCCAGCCTGGCCTGCATGAGTATGTTAAAACTGTTGCAAAGAGGTTCTACTCCTTTCACCTTGGGGTCAATTACACCTACCCTCACTATACCCCTAGTCAGCAGGAAGAGGTTAGAGCAGTCTTCAGCCTTTTTCCATCTTCTTTAGCCAACACCTTGAGATTAAGATGTTATAAAACCCAAAGGGAGGAACTGAAACCACCACTGCAAAATTATAAGTGAGACAATGAAAGAAACCTGATCTAACCAACCCCATCTTGCTTCTAACCTCCACGTTATTCTCATTCATTCCTGGCCGTAGGCCGAATTAACTTTGGGAGGAACTTAGTTTATAGTTTATAATTTGAAACAAAGATGATAATAACCCTTTCCCAATACAAACCCCTTTCTTTCCTGGGAACTAGACTGCCTTTGTAGGACTAATAAATTAGTCAAAAGATTAGAAATTATGGTTTAGGAGTCATGCAGCTGAAATCTGCTAGATTCTGACCCTTCCCAAATTGCTCCTAGGATAACATTGCCACTGTAAAATCTAAGATCAGGGCTTAAGATATTTTGCAGGCCTTGCATCTGATGGATCATCTGGTATCACCCACATTGATAAACTAGCTCATCTGTTCTTGCTGCCCCCACCTGGGAACTGACTCAGCATAAGAAGACAGCTTCAATTCCCTATGACTTCATCTCTGACCCAATTGATTTGAGTAATAATAAAACTCTGCTGTCCCGCAAAATAAATAAATAAATAAATAAATTCACAAAGGAAATTAGAAAATATTTAACAGAATGACATTATTATTTATCGTTAATTGTATTGATACCTATGATACTATATATCAATAATCCTTATTTAGGTACAGAAATCACACTAGATAGCATTGCAAAAATAGACACAATGTAACAGAATACATAATCCACAAAAAGCCCAGGTATATATTGATACCTGAATTATGACAAAAGGGTCATTGCAAAATGATAAGGAAAGGACCATGTTCTCAATAACTGGTAGTAGATAGATTGGAAATTCATATGAAAACTTTCCCCTACCTTATGCATGAAAATACACGTACAGAATAATATTTATAGAAGCAGTCTCTGCACTGGTCTTAAAGCCAAACTGCTGCAAATGCATATCAACAATAGAATGGATAAACATACAATAGATATACAATGAATATAAGATATGCAATGGATTTACAGTATACAATAGAACATAACTTGCCAATAAAATAAACTACAGCTATATGGAAAAACTTGGATTTATATCTCAAATATAATATTAAACAAAAGAAGCCAGATATTCATTGGATTATTATACTCATAAAAACTTCAAAAATATATAAAACTAATCAACGTGGTTAGAAGTCAAAATCAAGATTATTTTAATGGTTGGAGACAATTGTTAATCACTAAGAGTGGTGCGAGGGGAAAGAAACTTGATCATGAGAAGTGTTAAAATTTTAATCTTAGAAGTGTTTATATAGCTGTTCTATGTCAAAATTTACTGTTGCTGTAGAACAAATCTATGCACTTTTATATGTCTTATATGTCAAGAAACAGAAAATGAGATATATAGACAGAATTTGAAAACTAAAAGATATAAATGATAAAATTTCTCAAAACCCAACTTGGAGATTTAAGGAGATCTGAAAATAGCTAAATTGAGGTTAAGAAACAGAAAAATCAAAGGAGAAAGCCCAATATACTTCTTAAAAGTGTTTCATAATGACAAAATATAATTTAAAAATAGTTGAAGAATTAGTGGCTGAGAATTTTCCAGACTTGACAATTCACTTATTACTCATATTGACAGATAAAACTGAATTCTTTGTCCAGTAAACAAAATAAATCCAAACCCAAAGTTATTATCATAAAATTACAATCAAGATAGAAGCTGTTAATGGAAGTCAGAGAAAAAAGTGATTAGCTACAAAGGAATGATGACTAGAATAGCAGATTTAGCACTAAATGAACAATGACCTTTATTAATAGTGGGTAGAAGGGCTTACAGAAGAGAGAGGGTTAGAATATGACAATGAAATCGTTGAAATTATTTTTTTTTTCTAGATGGCTTTATTGTTAAGGCTGCAGCATTTGAACTTATTTATAAAATGATGATATTGAAAAAGTCAGAAAAGGGTAATAACAGAGAAGTAGAAATTTCTTTTAGAAGAGCTTTTGATAATAGGTTGTAAGACTAATTTGAAATTCAAGGATAATTTAGGCAACAGACAAGTTGCCATGGATGAAAAACCTTGTAATAAGTCTCTTTTCAATCAGTTCCCTTCGCCATGCCACAAATTATTCTTCTCTCTGAAGCCAGAATGATTCTTCTAAAATGTAAATTTCCCACACTCCTCCTGATTTGGAAAACTTTCCCTGCTGCCGCTACTGATGTCAGAATAAAGCCCAAATTTCCTAGCATGATCTAAGTGACGCGGTTCTTAAATTTCTTTCCCCTATGCCCCTCCTGACGATACATGCTATTCCATTAGCCAGCTTTCTCCAGGGTGCCACATTCAAATTAATATTTCTCAGTTGAAATGTCTTTAGAAACATATCACCTTTATGGAAAGGTTTACCAACTTACTAAATTTGATACATAATTGTTGTTATACAAATGTATATTCTGGTCAAAGCTATTATGCATAGCTTCATGCTTTCATTGACATATTTTGGACTGACATATTTTGTATTAGATATATTTATGACAGGACATGTGGGTAAGTTCCAAAAAACCTTATAAAATATTCTAAAGCTTCAAAATTTCTGCATTTACATACTTGCATGAAACTACAGTGTTACATGTGTGGGTGGATTCCAACCAGATATAAGGGCAAGATCTTCCATAAATTTACACAGGCATTTAAGATGATCAAATTATCAAAGCATTCAGTTATAGCCATACATCTATTTTTTTGTAATTTTTATAATTTTAAGAGTATTTATAAATAGTATTAAAGTTATTAAAGTTTAAATAAAATATGAATATATACCTTCTTTATGTTAGCTTAGCAACTGATTATTGTATTGAATTTTTAAAAATCTAGACTACTTTATTCATCTTCTAGGGCTGCTGTAACAAAGTTTCATAAACTGGATGGCTTAAACCAGTGGTCCTTAACATTTTTTGGGTGGGTGACCAGGAACCAGTTTTGTGGAAGATAACTTTTTTCCAGGGGGAGAAGGCAGGGAAGTGGTTTCAGGATGAAACTGTTCCACCTCAGATCATCAGGCATTACTTAGATTTTCATAAGGAGCGTGAATCATAGACCCTTTGCATGTGCAGTTCACAAAAGGGCTCGAGCTCCCATAAGAATTCTGAGAATCCAATGCTGCTGCTTATCTGACAGGAGGAGGAGCTCAGGCGATAATGCTCACTGGTGAGCTGCTCACCTCTTGCTGTGTGTCCTGGTTCCTAACAAGCCACAAAAAGGTACTGGTCCATGACCTGGGAGTTGAAGACCCCTGGCTCAAAAAACAGCAACTAATTGTCGCACAGTTCTGAGGGCTACAAGCCTAAAATCAAGATGTTGGCAGAGCTGGTTTCTTATGATGGCTTTAAGGAAAGGATCTATGTAGGTCCCTCTGCTTGGCTTATAGAGACCACCTTCACATATGGTGTTCTCCCCGTATCTTCACATTGTCTACCTTCTGTAGATATGTACATCAGTGACAGTGTAAACATTTTACAACAGGCATAAGATGAGTGTAGCCAGTTAGAACAGATGATAGTCTTACACATTACATTGGGCTGTACTGGTGTATATCTGCAGAATATCAGTCCTGTGTACATGTGTATTGAATAAGTATGTAACAGAAATAATAAATAACAATGAAAGCAAAGAAGCAAGGAAGGAAGAAAAGGAAAGAGGAAAAGAAGGAGGGAAGAAGTGAAAGAAGTGTAAAAAATATGATGTGCTGGTTTGACATCTGGTAAATTGGCAGAGCCTCAGATAGCATAAGTGCACATGCGTCTTCTTGCTCAGCTCCTGTGAAAAAAGCCCCCTAGTCAAATGATCCTTCCTATCAGGGAGACTAGGTGCAGTTTCTGCTTATCCCTGAGTAGTGGGTTTCAGTTCCCTGATAGCCTGCAGAATTATTCAAACAAGCCAATTACATTCTCAGGTGGGAACCACAGGGACACCTCACCCTCTTGACACCAACAAACCTGCCTCTCACGGTCCCTGACTGTTCTCTCTGTTCTGACTGCAACCCATGTGTGGCACAATGTCCTATTTCCCCATACTGTCAGTATATGGAGCTGACAACCTGCTCTCAATATCATCTGTCCTGTGTTACATGTCGTGTGTTTGGCCTCCCACTAACCCTAGGGTGGGAATTCACATGAAAATTAATATTTCTCAGTTAAAATGTCTTTAGAAACATATCAACTTTATGAAAAGGTTTACCAACTTACTAAATTTGATACATAATTGTTGTGATACAAATGTATATTCTGGTCAAAGCTATTATGCATAGCTTCATGCTTTCGTTGACATATTTTGGATTGACATATTTTGTATTAGGTATATTTATGACAGGACCTGTGGGTAACCATATGGAGTATGGTTGGTTACTCCATAACCAGTGGAGTAAATACAAGGCAATAAAAACAAATGGTGTCACAAACAAGGTCATGCAACCATGACCAAGAACATCTCATCAGCTTTAAATAACTGCTGCTTGGGTAACTATCTAGTTCTATGATATGGCAAAGGCTAAGGCAGAACTGCCAGTTGCTAGAGGGTTTGCTTTTTTCCTGTTATGTACTCTGTTGACTTTGCTAAATATTACCATTTCTTCTCACCTTAAAATGCTCTTCTGAGGCAAGATGATAATTGTTAAGTGACTATACGCTAACATGATATATGTCCAGATTCAGCTTGGCTTTGGCAGGTGGTCTCTGAGGTTTCCTGCTGTAACAACACAGTCTAACTGGTCAGTGCTTGAATTCCACTTACCAATAATAAGGCTACAGCTCTCTGGTCACTGCCTCAGCTTGGTGACCTTCACTGGATGCCTGAGACAGTCATATGAACGTTGTGATTGTGCACTTCTGGGCTGGGAAGATCATGTTAAAGTTTGCAGAAAGAAAGGAGACAGCATCCTGGGTTGAATTAAGTATGGCATCTCAGTTACTTAAAAAGAACAGTTGTTCATTCAACAGTAGAAACCTTGTTCATCTCTTGTACTGCTAGTTCCCTTGCTTCTGTCATGTATGCTTTCTT
The DNA here is from genome assembly GCF_000001405.40 of Homo sapiens. Taxonomy (NCBI): domain Eukaryota; kingdom Metazoa; phylum Chordata; class Mammalia; order Primates; family Hominidae; genus Homo; species Homo sapiens. The sequence continues at coordinate 162,542,498 of NC_000003.12, read as the reverse complement.
TACCTCCAAGTGTATGAGGTGTACATCTGTGGTAGCCTGAGCCCCATGGACTAATGAAAAATGAAATTAATAAATAAAGGATGGAAGAAATTAAGGAAGGGAGGGAAGAAAGGAAGAAAATAAAGAAATGAAGTAGGGAGAGAGGCAGGGAGAAAAAAGCAAAGGAAGTAAAGAGGGAAGGAAGGGAGGGAAGGAAGAAAAAAAGGAAAGAAAGAAGGAACAAGGGGATGGAGGCAGACAGAGGGGAAGGAAGAAAGGAAAGAATGAAGTAAGGAGGGAGGGAGGGCAGGTAGGAATGGATGGAGGGAGGAAGAAGGGCGGGAAGAAAGAGAAGGAGTGAGAGAAGGAAGGAGGGAGGGAGGGAAGGAGAGGAAGGAATGAAGGAAAGGAAGGAAGGGAGGAGAGAGGGAGAGAGGGAGGGAGAAAGGAAAGGAAAGGAAGAAAGGAAAAGAAAGGGGGAAGGAAGGAAGGAAGCAAGGGAGGGAGTGAGGTAGGGACGGAGGGAAGGAAGGAAAAAGTGGAACAGGCATCTAGTCTAGTCATCCAACCCACCAGAGGAGATAACACAACAGTTGCCTCAATGCAAAACCCCTATCCAATGTGCTGGTCTTAATAAGTTTTATTTAATGCTACTGCTTACCAGTATGCCACAGAGTTAATCTTTTGATCACCAGACTTGATAGCCACACTTGGGCCACAGACAAAATGAACTTACTAGATGTAGACATCACTTCTGGAAGATTAACTAGAAGTCCTTGGGGGAAGAGAAAACCTCCTATGAGGTTGGCCACAGACTATCAAACTTTTCCCCATAACCTCTCAGAATGTCGGAAGAAGACAGAAACAAAGATCCTCAAATCAGATTCTAATGAGAGGCAAGTGTAGTTGACTATGTGCAACTAGGAACCTAAAATATTCAGAAAGAATTTATAGAGAGAAAAGAGAAAGAAAGTCCCATACATTAGAAGGGGAATGGTAAAAGCAGAGTTTGGTTTCAATCCACTGGTCTCTGGACTGCGGGTACAGGTCACTTCGACTACAACATTCTGTTGCCTACACTTCTTTTGTAACAAAGATCCTGTTATAACTCAAGGTTATAGGGGAAAAACGCCCATGGCATCCATGTGATCCAGCAAAGAGGTTAATTTAAAAGCAAGTTAACCCAAGATTTTAATCCATAAGAAGCAACCATTGCTGTGGAGGAGGTTACTAACTTGCTGACACTGATTTGAGGCTCTCTGGAAGGAAAAAAAAATTAAATATGAATACGGTAGAGTTTTTCTTTTTGTTTTTGTATTATAGGAGTTCTTTGTATATTCGGGATATTAAACCCTTATCAGACATAGGATTTGCAGATTTTTTTCCCATTCTGTGGGAAACATTTTTTTCCCATTCTCTTACTAGTGCCCTTCATTGCACATATGTTTTAAATTTTGAAGTAAATTTTATCTATTTTTTGTTGTTGTTACCTGTGCTTTTGATGCCACATTTCAGAAACCATTGCCAAATCTAAGCACAGGAAGATTTTCCTCTATGTTTCATTCCAACAGTTTTACAGTTTTAGCTCCTAAATTTAGGTCTTTGATCCTTTGAGTTAATTTTTGTATATGGCAAAATGTAAGCGTCCAACTTGCATTGTTTTGCATTCTTTTACATATGACTATTCAGTTTTCTTAGCACTATTTCTTGAAGACATTTTTCTTTTCCCATTGAATTTATTTGGCATCATTTAAAAAAACTAATAAACTATAGATATGCAACTTTATTTCTTAGTTCTGTACTCTGTTCTACTGGTCCATATGTCTTTACTTATGCCAGTACAACATTGCTTTGATTACTGTAACTGGGTAGTAAGTTTTGTAATAGATAAGTATGAGTCCTTAAGTTAATTTAAACATCTGGTGAAATGCAGAAATTGGCAAATTTCTGTTGCCTTAATCAGTACTGAGACTCAAGTTACAGGAGCAGAATATTAGATGATTCCACTAAATTTAATTATTTTACCTCCAATGACTTTAGGAGAATTCTGAATATAAAACAGAGCAAATAGGTATAGCTGACCTTAACCATCAGAACTATTATCTTGCCTAATTTCCCATATTCATAGCACACATTGCCTTAAAATATCCTATATAATAGGCATGAGCAATTTGACAAAATGTGTAATAAATTAAAATTAAATTAAAACTTTGGTACTTAAAAATTGATGAAATTCTACACCATGGTCCTCCATTTAAAATAATTAATATGATCCAATGTAAATTAAAAGAGAGGCTTCATGGATTTAAACTTTGTACATAAGACCTAATGGGAGAAAGATTGATTATCCCACTGCGTCTTCATTTAATAGCCAAATTTGCCCTGTTCTTATACCCGGAAAAAATCATTTAACACCCCATGGTAGATTCCCACAACCTTAATGCTGTTATCCCATCCACTAAGGCCCTCACACTCAATGCCCAATCTTACTGAAATCATTGACTACATCTAATAAAAAATATTTTACTATTATAGATTTGCTTATATATTTTATTCAGGTCCTATTTCAATAGGCTTTGAGACTCTAAAGAGACAAAATACATCTTTATCAGGTCAGCAGTGGGGTACCTCATAAACCTTGCCATCACACACAATCTTTGCAAACAAGATTTTTTTTTTTTTTTTTTTTGAGACGGAGTCTCGCTCTGTTGCCCAGGGTGGAGTGCAATGGCACGATATTGGCTCACTGCTACTTCCACCTCCTGGGTTCAAGCGATTCTCCTGCCTCAGCCTTCCAAGTAGCTGGGACCATAGGCACATGCCACTACGCCCGGCTAACTATATATATATATATATATATATATATATATATATATATATATATACACACACACAGCCTAATGAGAGAAAGGGTGATTATCTCACTGCTTCTTCATTTGATAGCCAAATTTGCCAGTGAGGTTTTTAGGACTCCCTAAAAATCTCAGTCATTACCAAGGTTTAAATTTATGTCAAAGCATGAAGAGGTCAATTGTGGTACAAGGATTAAAATTAAGAATCAATATTATGTCCTGCCTTGACATTTGGTGGCACTGAAGAGCATCAAATAGCCGAAATGCAATTTTCTCAACAGGAGCACAAGTTGGCTTTGGCCAAACCAGCTCATCCCTGATTGCTTGCAATTTTCAGGAAAAAAGTACCAAGAATGCAACATCCTGAGATAAGTAGAAAACGTCTGGAACTACTAGGGCTGTAGCCTCATTCCTCTGAGAACGGGGTGTTCTATGATGGTTGAAATCAGCAATCCAAGTTGTGCTGAGGATATAAAACTCAGAGCAGAGTGCCTTGAGCCTTAATCCATTAGCCTTGGTGCAATGTGGGGCACATGCAGACATGACTCTATCCACCTCGGACAGCTTTCCTGAGCATTAGGAATTGACTCACCACTAATCCTAGATATCAGTTTATCCTTGCTGTCTATCTGTGAGTAATAAATCTGTTTTGCCCAACTTGTTGTGTAAGTATTATTTCTCCCCAGACTAGACCTAAGAACATTGGCACCCCCTCACTCAGCTCCTAAAGATAATGTTTCTTAATCAAACAACTCTCCTTATAAAGAAGACTAAGCACAATTCCAGCTTATTCCAGAGAAATGGTTTTTAGTTCCCTGCAAACCCACGATATTACTCAAAGAAGCCAATCACAACCCCCTGTGGTTACTAGGGGTCACCCCATCCTCTTGATACTACAAATTCTGCCACCCACAACTTCTGGATTTTCACTCTGTTTCTCAATGCACCCCCTATGTGGCCCTGCATAGCACAGTGTCTTCCTCTTCCTGGCTGAGCATATGTGATTAATAAACTGCTCTCCATCCCATCTGTCCAGTGTCAGGTATCTTGTGTTTGCTCATTCCTCTTCACCAGTAGGGACTTCTTCCTTCGCCACTGGGGAGCAAAGGAGGTGATTAAAACAGAAGGAAATAAAAAATGAAGGAGGTAAGAAAGGCAGTTGTTAGTATTATTACCATAAAATGTACCATTTAAAAGAAAATGTGACTGTTTTTGCCCAATGAATTGAGAACATGTGTTATCTATATTTGTTCTTAAGTCATTTATCTTAGAGCAAATGTTTTCTTTAAGTACCAGGAAAATGAGTATTGTTGTCTATATGTTTTTTAGTTAAATGATTGTTTGATTGATATTTGAGCTATATTACTATGTTTTTATCTTTATTTATTTATTTATTTTTTTACTAAATGCTTCCATTTTGGATGGAGTGGGAAAACTATGAGTTTCTACAGTGTTGTTTAGAATATAATACAGGTTAAATATTCCTTATTTGTAATGCTTGGGAACAGAAGTGTTTTGGATTTGGGGTTTCTTTGGGGGGATTTTAAAATGTTTGCATTACATACTCACAAGTTGAGCATCCCAGTTCCAAAAACCCCGAATGAACAATGCTCCAGTGAGCATTTCCTTTGAGGATCATGTTGACACTCAAAAAGTTTCAAATATTGAAGCATTTAAGATTTCGGATTTTTAAATTTGGGATTCTCAATCTGTGAATGCATTCCAAAAAGACAATTTACTGAACACCATTAGCCATAAAATAAAAACCAAACTTCTGTTATAAACATTAAAGCTATCCTGTAGTGCCTATCATCAGCATTTTATGGGGAGATTATCACAGTTCTATCATTAATAATAGAAGAAATCCACTTTTGGAAAATTTTGGTTCCATTTTGGAATACTTTAAATGCTTAGATATTAACATTTTAATTTCTAACCTATTAATAACAAAGTATATTTAGAATTTATATACATATATAGACACATAAACACATCTATTTACATTCATTCATTTATTCCTTTTGCATTTTCTACAGGCACATAATAAAGAAATATAGTTCACATATTGCATGTATTCTTTTATGCTCACTTTTATTTGTGATTTTTCATGGAAGAAAGGGAGCATACTTTCTAGTAGGCCCCAGAAAAACTTTTTTGAATAGGAAATAGAAGCAGATAAATTATAATCGAGGTAAGACCCTCCTCATATGGATTGCTTATTATATCATTCCCTCCCAGGTCAAAACTACAAAAAAGAGATTTATCTTTTATCTTTGGCTCCTCTGATTATTCTAAACTTCTTCATTTCAACCAATTTCTGAAGTAAAATGGAATTTATAACTCTTTACATTCCTGTAGATGACAAAGAGACATATATACATAAATAAATGAATAAATAATAACAAGTGTCTTATTGGGCAAGAGGAAAAGGTAAGATTGGACCAACAGACATATCTAAAATTAATTAAATGTATTTAATACTTTTACATTGAAGAAATATTTACACTTGATTTTATTTATTTAAACCAGGAGTGGGAAAACTGTGGCCATGGACCAGGTCTGGCCCACCATTTCTCTTTATAAGTAAATATTTATTGAACCACAGCTATGACTGGCATAATTTCTAAGGCTGCCTTTGTGCTCCAACGCAGAGTTGAGTAGTTATGACAGAAACCATATGTGCCCAAAGTAAAAAATCGTACTATCTGATCCTTTATAGAAAAAGATTGCCTGCCTCTAATCTAGCCCATTACATTACAGTGTCTTTGGTAAACAGGATTTGAATATCTATTATTATTTATATATTTGGATCCAATATTTGTGAATCAAAGCCCCTCTTTTCTATACGCTATTGACATGATAGAAAACCTGAGGTTTCGTGGTCAGGAATGGAGACATATGTTTCATTTTACTAAACCGTCGTCTGAATAATGGCATTCCAAAAATATATCCACCAATAATCATAGATGAATTTTAAAGGGATATTGTCAAAGTAGTCGAAAATAGGGATTAATTTGATCCTGTTGATTGATTTTACATGGCATGAAATAACATCACTTTCCTTCAAATTTCTAGATCAATTACATATACAATGTAAGTATAAACAAACAAAAAATAAAGTATTAATATTAATTTTTAAAAAAAGTTTATAACAAGTTTGGAATGGAAGTTGCTTTATAACAAGTTTGGAATGGAAGTTGCAAAGACACCAGAACCTGCAAAGACACCAGACCTTGCATTATTTCTACATAGATACATGGACTAAGAGAGAAAAGTCAGAGGACTTGTTTAGGTTCTATATTGCTTTCTTGGGCAAAGTTTAAGTTTCAAACTGTATATCCTGCAAAGATTTTGGAGGGACTTGCTGCTGTGTGTTTGAAATAAGTCTAGCCCTGAGTTAAGATAGGTTGCAAATGGTAATAAAGCATCATTCTAATTTTTATACTTTTTTCTTTAGGCTTTAATCAAAAGGGAAGAGAATGTTTTAATTGTCAAGTTGTATCCAACCAACTGCCTATTGTTATTTGTTTTAGTTCCCAAGGGACGATAGATTCTATATTTATGATAATCAATTTCTATCTTTATATTATTATGATAATCAATTTCTATCTTTATATTATAAATTTTATAGCCTGCAGTATAATAGAATGAATTGTTCTAGGAAGAGAATATATTTTAATAGAGTCAGGGTATTTAATTAACTAATAAATAGTTAAAATGCATTTCTAAAGAGAATTTTGTAACTGGTTATAGACGTTTAGGAATTTTTGTTAAATGAACCTAAAACTTGTGTAATTACTGGAACATGATCCAGATAGAAAGAATAAAGTGTTGGTCAGCAAAACACAGAATTTTAGGCATACAATGAGAAAGGAAGAGTTTTGACATCCTTTCAAACACAAGAAAGCTCGAGAAAATAGAATGAAGTTCAGCGGTATTGTTCATATTCTGAGTAAAATGTATTAAGTGGAAGAACCCAAGAGCCTCCCAAGTACCGTACCTGTTAGTTTTTCCTGCTTTCACAGTGGTGAAAAATGGTACTAAACCACACTATGCTACCTGTAGGAATCTATGCATGGAATAAAACAACTGAACAACACAATCTCAGGAGGAGACGAACTTCATTTTACTGGTGACATCACCAGGGTCAATTTAAGTTGGGGAAGTTGCTGCCTTAGTTTCTCCCCTACTGCACCCTTGTGCTTATAAAGACGATTTAGGGACCATGAGTGTAGAAACACCCAGTTGTTCACAACCTTATGGACTAGTTACTAATTTGAATGCCCTTTGACTAATTGTAAATCTCCTCTAAATGTTTGAAAACATGACATGTTGATATTAAAAAAAAATTTAACAAGCTTGAAAGCCAATTCAAAAGGAAAATCTCAGAAAGATAATTCAAGGAAGAACAAGAGAATGGAAAAATACTGTATTGTTTACCTAAAGTGACTCTTGTGAAATACAGACACATACTGAGATTCATAAGGCTTGGTGTGTTTGCCACAAAATCAGTCTCATTAGCAGACAGATATGAATATATTTTCACACCTCATATACCTCTGAATTTAAATCGTAAGACTCTCTGCCTCAATTAATGAAAGGTAGATTACAAAGGGAACGTGGAGCACCTAGAGAATTATATTAGGACAACACAGCTATTAGCAACACTCAGCACAGAAGCACTGGAGTGTTTTAAGTATGAAGCGTAGTTTACCTTTCTAGTTCATGTTCTAGGGGTAAAATGAAGCCTTTAAGTACATTTGCATACATTAAGACTAGAAGGGGTTTTAGGAAGAATAAAAGCCAGTATCTAATATTTAATCACATTCTTCCTTGGTTGTGTCTCCAATGATTTCAAAAAGCAGGTTTTAATTGCACCAGAAAAACTATTTATAAAGAAAGTACATTGCCTTTGGCCAAGAAACTATTCAGTGAAATGGTATCATCTGACCCTATATCAATTAACTATATTGTCTGACATTGCAACTCATAAAAGTCCTTTTATCCCTTTAAAAAAACATTTTTGGGTATGTTTCTATCTATCAAAGCTTACATTCTGGTTCATGTCTTCTTTCCGGACTAGATATAAAGAAAATCAACACTGTTTATTTTTCCCTAGACAACTATTCACTGATATGCACAGTGTTCCACAAAACATGCTTCATTTACCAAGAGAAAGAACGCTGCAGTGTATCTCAAGCCTGAAGGCATTGATATACAGCACTTCATTTGGAGTCCCAGTTAGTGGAAATGATTCTGGGGCACACTGGTTTTTTATAGGTATTCACTGCTGAAGAAAGTAGTTTAGGGCTCAATGGTATATCTGAAAGAAAACCAAAACCATTTCAAGTGGTAAAATAAGAACTGAAAAGGTGAGTTAGAGGTGAGTATCAAAGACACTCATTCAAAATTATATGAAAATATTTACTTGTGTATTTGAAAAAAATCTAAATTAGCAACAGGTAATTTATCTATTTTTTAAAAAATATGTAGACCATCTAGTTACTAAATACTCCAACAGGCTCTATATTATATCAGAGTTCAACTTTAAAACTGAAGAAACTAAGGCAGTGGAGGGTTTAACTCTCATTCTGATAATTTTTCAAGAGTAAATACTGTTTAGATTGGAGTCCAGAGTTGACTCTGGCTAAGTATTTAAGGTGTCACATTAGACAAGTGACACAAATTGTAGAAGTTATTTGCTACAGCTATTACTAGAGAAATATTTTATTTCTGATCAGTGACTTGCTTAGGCAACACTTTCAGCAACATACACATAATATAGTTATAATTTCACTGTAGAGTCTTTCCCCTAGCATCTGATATGTTATGTCCACACATGTCTTCAATAGATCCTGCAGCTGTGCATTCAGAGAATAGATGATGGGGACAAACAGGAAAGAAATAACACGACTGTGCTTTTAAATCCATTCTTCTCTTTTGAATGCAGCTAAATGGGGATACTTTTTAGAGCAAATGAGCAATTTTCAAAAAGCCAGATACACCAGGGGAACTACTTCAACATGATACTAGTGCTCAGTGGTTACATTGCTGACTCTTAAAAGATTCAGAAAAACAAGGCTCTGACTCCACCCTGGTTTCCAGTAATAATTAAAACCTTATACAGCTCCTAAATAATTGAATTGCCTAGTTATTAAGGAAATTTATTTAGCCTCTTTCCAAACACAGAACTGTCTGAAATGAAATGAATTGTCAAATTCAAAATGTTTTAAACATACCTTATTATCTCTTACCTCTCTTACCAGTTATTTTTCCTGTGACACCTACTTTTGCAAATTACCTCCAGAACCAAGAGTTCAATGCATTAACCAATGGCTTCATAAATATGGGACTCTAAATGTTTTGAATTAAAAAATTAATTTATGTATTGAAGCATGTATTCAATCTAATTTCAAAATATTTTAGAAAAAATTTTTAATGTTTTGGCTAATATAATGTCTAAATTTGAAGAGAAATTTGAAGTTCTGGCACTATTGGGTTATATCTATTATATTCAAAAACTATCCTCTACTGCATACTTAACTAAATTTATTACTTAATGTGTAAAATTTAGTAATTTTACAAATTAAAAATTTTTTTAATTAAAATTTACTTAATTTTACAAATAGATACTAGTCCTCTGTCTGATATGTGGATTCAAAATATTTCCCCCCACCTGCTCCCATCTGTACTTGTTTCATTCTCTTAACAGATTCTTCTGGAGATCAAAATTTTTTAATTTTGATGTGATCCAATTATTTTCTTTGTCTTTTGTGTCTAAGAACTCTTTCTCACATTAGATCCTGAAAATTTTACAAATTAAGAAAATTTATTACTTAATTTGTAAAAGCATCCAACAATTAGCATATGTAGACTGAAATTTAAAATACAATATTATTTGCAAATTCTCCAAATAAAATGAAATAGGTAAAAGCTTACGAAAACATATATAAGCTTTATATGCTAAAGTTAAAAATGCTTATGTAAGAAATAAAAGACAATGTAAATAATGGAGAGCTATACTGTGTTCATGATTTGTAAAATTAATCTGTAAGTTTAATGCAATTCTTATCAAAGTCTTAAGTGCTCTTTGTAGATATAAACATATTTACTCTAAAATTTAGATGAAAAGGCATAAATCCCAAATATGTAAATGATGTCAAATCGAAGACGAAAGCAAGAAGAATAACTCTACCTAAGATTAAGGCTTACTATATACCTATAATGATAAAGAAATTGTGGTATTGGCAAAGGGATAAATACATTAATCAATGAAACAAAATGCTGATCCCCAAAATATATGGCTAAAATATCTCTGATTTTTACAAAGTTGCAAAAGCAGTTAATTGAAGGAATGATAGTCTTTCCAACAAATAATGCTGAAGCAATTGGACATCCATAAGGAGCATAAAAAGAACTACCAAAGTCTCATGCCTTCTATAATGGTTAACCCAAAGTGGATTATAGACTTAAATGTAAAATCAAAAGCCTTTTTAAAAATAAGAAAAAAAATTTCAGGATATAATGTGAGAAAGAGTCCTTAGACACAAAAGAAAAAAAAATAATTGGATCACATCAAAATTAAAAACTTTTGCTCTCCAGAAGAATCTGTTAAGAGAATGAAACAAGTACAGATGGGGGCAGGTGGGGGGAAATATTTGGAATCCACATATCGGACGAAGAACTAGTATCTAGAATATATACATAATTTAAAATGCAACACTTTTTAAAAAAAGAAACAGTACAGTTAGGAAAACAGCAAAGGGCATGAACAGATATTTTACCTAAGATAATGTAAAATGGCAACTAAGTACATGAAAAGATATTCAACATCAGTAGACATTAAGAAAATAAAATTTAAACCGATAATTAAATAATACTACACACACAAATAACAGAATGGCTAATATGAAAAATAGTGACAACATTAAATACTTGTGAGGAGGCAGAAAACCAGAAAAACATATTGCTGGTGGGAATGGAAAATGGTACAGCCACTTGTAAAAATAATTGTTTGGGGCTGGGAGCTGTGGCTCACACCTGTAATCTCAGCACTTTGGGAGGCCAAGGCGGGCAGATCACCTAAAGTCAGGAGTTTGAGACCAGCTGGCCAATATGGGGAAACCTCATCTCTACTAAAAATACAAAAAAAAAAAAAAATAGCTTGGCATGGTGGCAGGTGCCTGTAATCCCAGCTACTTGGGAGACTGAGGCGGGAGAATCGCTTGAACCTGGTAGGCAGAGGTTGCAGTGAGCCGAGATTGCACCACTGCGCTCCAGCCTGGGTGCAAGAGAATGAGACTCCCTCAGAAAATAAATAAATAAATAAATAAAAAAGAAAGGAAAAAAAAAGGAAAAGCTAAGAAAAAATTGTTTGCCAGTTTCTTGTAAAACTGCACATGCAATTACCATATTACCCAGCAATTGAAATCTTGTTCATTTGTCCCACAGCAATGAAATTCCATGTTCATCAAAAAACCTGCATATGAATGCCAATATAGCAGCTGTACTTGTGATAACCTAAAACTGGAAACAGCCAAGATTTCCTTCAAAAGAGGAATGGTTAAACAATGAGAGGTACAGACACATCTTGAAATATTAATAAACAAAAACAAGGAATAAACTATTGGTACACACAGTAACTTAGATGAATCTCAAGGGAACTGTGATTAGTAAAAAATGCCAATGTCAAAAATACACAGACTGTAAGATGCCATATGCTTACATACATTATGATAACATTTATGTTTTTAAACTTTTGTTTTAGGTTCAGGGGTACATGTGCAGTTACAGTATGATAACATGTTTTTAAACTTTTAGGTTCAGGAGTACATGTGCAAGTTTACTATGTAAGTAAATTGCCTGTCACTGGGCTTCGTGTACAAATTATTTTATCACCGAGGTAATAAGCATAGTACCCAATAGGTAGTTTTGACTCTCACCCTCCTCCCACCCTCCACCCTCAAATAGGCCCTTGTGTCTGTTTTTCCCTTCTTTATGTCTATATGTACTCAATATTCAGCTCCCACTTATAAGAGCATGCAGTATTTACTTTTCTGTTCCTGCCTTAGTTTGCTGAGGATAATGGCCTCCAACTCTATCCATGTCCCTGCAAAAGACATGATCTTATTCTTTTTCATGGCTACATAGTATTCTATGGTGTATATGTCCCATATTTTCTTTATCCAGTCTACCACTGATGGGCATTTAGGTTGATTCCATGTCTTTGGTATGGAAAATAGTGTTGTAATGAATATATGCATGCATATGTTTTTATGGTAGAATGATTTACATTTCTTTGTGTATATACACATTAAAGGTATTGCTCAGTCAAGTAGTAATTTTGTTTTAAGGTTTTTTTCTTAAAATAACAAATATGATAGAAATGGAGAAGAAATGAATGGTTAGGAGTGTCTGGGAGAACGTGAGTGTGGTCATAACACAACACAAAGTTGTGATGACACTGTCTATATCTTGACTGTGGTGGTGGCTATATATACTAACACATATTATAAAATTGCATAAGATTAACACACACAAATGAGTCTCTATAAGACTGAGAAAATAAGATTGCTGGATTTTGTCAAATTATGTGACGTTGTGTCAACGTCAGTTTCCTGGGTGTGATACTATAATTTGGCAAGATATTAACATTGGTATAAACAGGGTAAAGAATACATGGTATATCTCTATTATTTCTTACAACCAGATGTGACTCTCAGGTGTCTCAAAATGAAAAATTGAGTTAAAAATTATGCAATATATTTTATTTTTTAGAAGTGGAGCTGCAGTTAGGGTAAACTAGCACAGTGTATTCAAGGTCTATATATTTCAGACTCTTTACTAGTGTTTAATCTGATTTTACCACACAATATCAGGGAATACTACTTCATATATAATAAAGAATCTAAATCCTTATACTGTAAAGTAGACATCTGTGAATTTCTGCGTCTGGTAAAGAGGAGTGAGTTTCTATCACACTAATTCTTCTACAAATATTGATCACAAATTTTGGAAAAAAAAGTAAAAATAAAAACAAAGTTCTCTGGATTAGAACAAAAACAGGCATATTTTGGACTACATATAAAATTTGGAACAAGTTCATTTTTGTAGTCACAGTAGTGGTGGCATAGGCAGCTTAAACACTGCTAGAAAAATTTTTTATCTTTCTGGGCAAAGGAAATAAGAGGAAGAGCTCAGAATAATCTATGTGATTAAAAAGTGAGGAAAGAGAATTCGGAGAAGGGAAATAATTAGTTAATACACATACTCATGAATATACAAATATAAAACAATATATATATATTTATATTTATATAACAATATATAAATAAATATTTATTAAACATATTTTTATATAAAAGTATATAGTCTAAAACACGCAATCTAAAAAAATCTAAACCATAATATATTATATATTATATATTTATTATATATTATTATATAATATATTGTATATAGTTTTATATGTGTGTGTGTGTGTGTGTGTGTGTGTGTGTGTGTGTGTGTGTATAAAGCCCCTGGCAAACCACCGAACCAAGCTTGCTTGCATGAGGCCAGCTGAAACTATCTTGAAGAAAAGACAAAAATATGAATTGAGACTTGAGCATTGACCCATCACACTGCATTTCAGCCTAACCAATTTAATTGCCTGATAAAACTGAAACATATAACGAAATGTATTTTCTCTACAATATAACATTTAAAATGTGCAGTATACAATATAAAATTATTTACTATATTAAGGGCCAATAAAATATAACGTATCTGTATTAGCAGGGTGTGGTGGTGAGCACCTGTAGTTCCAACTACTCAGGAGAATATAAACCATGTTGAGCCTGGGCAACATAAAACAGGACATGAAACCTTGTCTGTACAAAAAAATTTTTTAAATTAGCTAAGTATGGTGGCGTGTGCCTGTAGTCCCAGGTACTTGGCAGGCTGATACAGGAGGATCTCTTGAACCCAGGCTATCAAAGCAACAGAATAAAACCCTGCCCAGATGCCTCTTGACTTAAGATGGTGTTGCTGCTTGATAAATCCATTGTAAAGTCTAAAAAGCTTTAAGTTGAACCATGGTAAGTCGGGGATTGCCTGTAATAACAACTCTATGCATTCTCTTTAAGAAAACAGAAGATGTAGAAGCAATCCCTACTCATCTTATGAGTCCAAAATTGACTTAATACCAGAATTATATAACAATATTAAAACAATAAAATAAATTCATGGACCAATATTCCTCATAATCATAGACACAAAATTCTTAACAAAACAGAGGTGAAACCAGAAACTTATAAAAGAGATAATGCATTATAACTATTTTGGTGTATACAAGAAGAAATATGAAGTTAATTTAACAATCAAAAATAAAATTTTGCATTTTGCCATAGTAAGAGGATAAAAGAGAAAAATTTATTTCTATAGACACATGAAAAACATTTGAGAAAAGTGAGCAACAAAGGTTTATTTCACAATAGTGAGAATACCCATGTAAGTAGCTTTAGGAACCTAGGAATAGACAGGACTTCTTGAACTTGACAATAGATTTCTACTAAAATCTTACAACTAACGTCATACTTAACGGTCAAATATTCATTACTTTCCCCTAATATTAAAAAGTCAAGAATATGAACCCTGAGCATTTGATTCACAATGTACTAAAAGTCCTAGATGTTGCAATAAGGTTAAGGGAACAAAGGCATAAAGAATAGATTTTAAAAATTGAATTTTTTTTTGCATATCATATGATTGCTTACATAGAAAATCTTTGGAGATCTTTAAGAAGTACTTTACAGACACATCTCAAAATAAGACATACATGTGGCCAAAAAAAAAAAAAAAGCTATGAAAAAATGCTCAACATCACTGATCATTAGAGAAATGCAAATAAAAACCACATTGAGATACCATCTCACACCACTCAGAATGGCGATTATTAAAATGTCAAAAAAAGAAGAAAAACAGGTGCTGGCAAAGCTGTGGAGAAAAAAGAACGTTTTTACCTTGGTGGGAGTGTAAATTGGTTCAACCATTGTGGAAGACAGTGTGGTGATTCTTCAAAGATCTACATGCAGAAACACCATTTAACCCAGCAATCTCATTACTGGGTATATACCCAATAGAATATAAATCATTCTACTATAAAAATACATGGAGATGTGTGTTCATCACAGCACTATTCACAATAACAAAGACATGGAATCAACCTAAATGCCCATCAATGATAGAACAGATAACTAAAATGTGGTACATATACACCACCATGGAATACTATGCAGCCATAAGAAAGAGTAAGATCATGTCCTTTGCAGGAATATGGATGGAGCTGGAAGTCATTATCCTTAGCAAACTAATGCAGTAACAGAAAATCGATCACTGCATGTTCTCACTTATAAATGGGAACTGAATAATGGAAACACATGGACACATTGGGGGAAACAATGCACACTGGGGCCTGTTGGGAACAGTTTTGGGGGAGGGAGAGCATCAGGAAGAATAGCTAATTGATGCTAGGCTTATTACCTAGGATTAGGCTTATTACCTATTACCTAGGCTTATTACCCAGGTGATGGGATGATCTGTGCTGCAAACCACCATAGCACATATTTACCTGTGTAGCAAACCTGCACATCTTGCACATATACCCCAGAACTTCAAATGAAAGTTGGTCCAGATGTGGTGGCTTACGCCTGTAATCCCAGCACTTTGGGAGGCCAAGGTGGGTGGATCACCTGAGGTCAGGAGTTCGAGACCAGCCTGGCCAATGTGGCGAAA
The DNA here is from genome assembly GCF_000001405.40 of Homo sapiens. Lineage (NCBI taxonomy): Eukaryota > Metazoa > Chordata > Mammalia > Primates > Hominidae > Homo > Homo sapiens. Next base: position 162,526,893 of record NC_000003.12, on the reverse strand, counting down.
CCCCATCTCTACTAAAAATACAAAAATTAGTCGGGCACAATGACATGCCCCTGTGATCCTGGCTACTTGGGAGGCTGAGAAAGGAGAATCACTTGAACCACAGACACAAAGGTTGTGGTGAGTGGAGATCACATCACTGCACTCCAGGTGACAGAGGGAGACTCTGTCTCAGGAAAATAAAAAATAAAAAAGAAAGAAAGTTGAAGAAAAAGAAGTACTTTAATAAGGTAACTTAGACAAATTGTAGATATAAGGTTAATGTGTGGAAATTAATTATATTTCCATATACTAGCAGCCAAAAAATTGGAAAATAAATTTAGACAAATAATTCAACTTATAATAGCATCAGGATCCATCAAATTTTTAGGAATACATTTAGCAAAGGATGTACAAGGCCTTTACACTGAAAACTATAGAATATGGGTGAAAGAAATTAAAGGAGGCTTTAAAATATTAGTTAATTAGATACAATGCAAAGTCTTCTAATCCATAATTCATAGAGCTCATAAACCAAATCTAGCCTGTAGTCTGCTTTTGTAAAAAATTTGATTAGAACATAACCCTCTCATTTACTTACATTTTGTGTATGGCCACTCATACAACAATCACAGAGTAGAGCTTGTGAACAGATGCATGGACTGCTAACCCTAAAATATTTTCTATCTAGCTCATTGCAGAAAACGTTTGCTGACCCCTTATGTATAAAATTATAATTATAATTAATTTTTGTCTTTTAACCTTGTATCCTGTGATCTTGCTAAAGTTACTAATTAATTCTAGTAGTTGTTTTGTAGATTCCCAGGGGAAGTGTTGACTCTACTGAGGGAAGAAAGGTATTAGACAACGAAGTAGCTACTGCACTTAGGAAACACATTTCAGCAGTTTCCGGGACAAGATGTGTAGGACTTGATCCCAAGTGGGTTAAACAAAGGGCAGTAGAGCATAAAGTTTCATAATGCAATATATATAAATATGAGGACACTCTCCAATGATGCGGGAGTTAAGTCTTTGATAAAGACCTCAAGAGATGGAACTAATATATTGCAAGAAGAGATATTACGCTCCTGGCATCTGTGTGGGCATTAGTTCTCTGCCCCCAAGTTCTAAGTGATAATGCCATTAAGCCCATAAAAAATGGTGCATATACAGTGTTTTTTTTTCTTTTCTTTTCTTTTTTTTTTTTTTTTTTTTTTTTAACACAGCTGAGGAACATGAAGCTTGGGAAGCCTGCCTTGTATAGAAAATGGTTAGCAGGCCTGTTCATTATCCCCAAGAGAAAAACTGTATCATTCATCAATGGTGTCCACTGCAAATGCAGCACTGTCAAAAGTCCAGAGTGCAAAGGTTTCTAAATCTGGAAGGAGCTCAGGTTACCACCTGCTTGAGCTTGGTCAGACTGAGCACTCACACAATGTCAGGAAAAGTGAATTTATTACTTACAAATAGGCAGCAAGGATAAAAAGAAGCCTAGGATCCGTGACACTCTGGTTTTTCCAGGACTTAGGAAAGCTGCCCAGTGCAGATGGAGATCTGAGAGACCCCAGAATGCTCTGCCCTGCGATTATTCATCCTGGATATAACTACAAACTCACTGAGCTCAATCAAGGATTGCAAAACATCCTGTTCCCAGAGGAATGAGGACTCATTCCAGATGGTTCTGGACACTTTATCCTTTTCTAAGGATGTTGCATTCTTGGAACATTCTGTGGTTTCTACCAACAACTGCAAGAAAAGGGAAAAAGCCAGAAGTGGCCAAGGCCATCTGGGGACCTATTCTCCTACACAGAGTGAACAGTGGTCAGAGACTTGATTTATCATCAAGAGCCTATAAAAAGGCTCAAGGCCCATCTGAGTTTGCTCTGGCTTCTGTGAGAATATACTATTTACGAAATGATTTAAACAATAGATATTTATTTCTCACAGTTCTTGAGTTTGGAAGACATGTGAATTTTGAGGGGTGCACAGTTCAGTCCATAGCAAGGTTTATGCCAGATTGCCTCTTCTAACACTGAGAGATTGAATAATATAATAACTGAAAAGTATAACCCTGGATTTAGCAACTATGAGGCTAGCAGTAAATTTGGAATTAAGTTTTCAGTGGTGTGTTGTAGGCAGAAGTCAGATTAGAAGGGAGTGAGATGTAAGTAGGAAGTTGAGAAAGTATAGACAAAACACAGCTTAGAAAATAACTTCACCTGCAATGAGTTCATTAGTGTTAATGTGTTCATGGTGTTAATTGCACATATTTTTCCTATTTTCTAAGATTATTTCAAAGTTATGAAGAATCTGACTTTGACTTATTGTCATAATTCTAAAAGCTTTGATGTGAATATTATTTACATTAAATGAAGCTTACTACATTTTGCAGTACAACCCTAAACTAGATAGATAGATAGATAGATAGATAGATAGATAGCTAAAAAGGTAAATATAAACATACACGTGTATACATAGTTCTTTGTTATTGATGTTGTTTCGTTTGATAAACATAGTATCATTTTCTAATGACTACTTGCTTATTAAGGCCATTTAATTAGGACAGCAGGACAACTATCACTTATTGAATGTCTCCTCTATGCTACAATTAACATGTTTATCTCTTTCAATCCTCATAGCAATCTTGTGATATGGATGCTTTTAAATTACCATTTTATATACCCATTATTATGTGGGTGAACCTTACTTTAAAGCCCACTCTTCTGATTCCTAGTCTAATGTTCTTTTCCCTACAGTATACTGTCTTAGAGGAATAGTTATGGCTTATATACTTTAGCACTAAGGAAATCAAGAAATTTAGTATTCAGAAAGGAAGAGGTGGAGGAAAAATGAGATCAAAGACCACTGTAATGGTATTCTCAGATGCCTGTCACTTTAATCATTGAGAAAAAGAGGAAAATACGTAGATATAGTATTTTTACTTTTTATACAAAATAACATGCATAACTTTAGTGACAAACTTTCTAGAACTCAAATTTGAGATTCAAGCAAAATGTGTCACAAAACTCTTTACTAATGAAGATACTGTTAACTTCTCAGCATACAAAGGTTATATGTGACACTTTTTAATGATGAAAACCTCTGAATTTGAAATAGCTGTTCCTCAATTTAATTAAAAGGAATCTTTCCTAGACCTTTGAAGGAACAGTCAGCAAAATCATTAGCCAGTACATTAGCAGGATGAAAGATATTTTTTTTCATTAGACGTAAGAAACATTAGAGTTTGTAACATTGCTAAGACAACTGTACCATTTTAAAAAGAGAATCATGGAGCAATGCTGTTAATATTATTTCCAGAGTCTATATCAGGAGATATAATTGAGAGGATTAACTTCCCTCATACATTGCTGCTCTTTTACAGTGGTTATCTCATATACTGAGATAACATAACTTCTCATACATTGAGACAGTGAAAACTATCAGAAAATTGAAAACACAGTGGTGCAGAGTACTCACTTGCAGTCAGACTCAACAGTGTTGAAAGTACAGATCTTTCACTTAAAAGATATATATCATTTGAAACATTGCTTAACCCCTCTAAATGTCAATTCCTCACTTTTGCAATGTATATGATAAATATTAACATATTTTGTTAGGATAATGACAGTGTCATTATCATTAGCAAGTTGTATGTATAATAAAGGCCCTTTTAAAATAATTGTTAGGAGTGATTTAAATGTTTTCTAGTAATGTAGATTAGAGAGTTCAGAAACTCACTAGAAATCAGTCTCTAGACCATGCTTGACTCCTCCTGAGAGATAGATTTTTTAAAAAGCCCCCAAATAAAGAAAATATTAAGTATGATACAGCAAGTTATGTATCGATAGATGATACTCAACTTCTTTTGGCATGGCATCAGAAAGGAATCAAGGTGTGCTTAAGAGCAATGGAATTCTTTTAGAAGTCTCTATTTTTAAAAAGGTAGGTCAGCACAAATGACTTTTTTATAACTTGAGTAATGATTTTTCTTATTCTCTGTTCTGTACCATCTGAAGGAAATTAGGACCATGCCTTGTCTACTTGTTGTTAAATTAGACATATGAAGAAAACAAAATTTGGGGCTCTTTTAGAATATAATTTTCTTTTCTTTCTCTAAACTTTTGAAAACTAGAGTCTTGATAATAAAAATATTTTATAATTGAACACAATTAATAAATATCTCAAATACATTCAAAAACAGTCTGATATTTATGACATAGTATCTCTCCTGAACTATTCCTAGACTGAGGGGGTCATTCTGGATTAATATGAACTCCTTAAATCCTCAAGACAAAACTGGGTTGGAATGATGGATTCTCCATTTATTAGATTGGTATAGTCTTGCCACAGTATTTTGCTGCCTAGGAAAAATGCATACTGATCTCTATACTACTGGTTAGAAAGGTCTGCTAGGTAGCTAGATGTGCCGCTAGTAAAATCCTGTAATGAGCGAATGTATGGAAAAGAACATATTGTCAGATACATTTTTGACTTAATGATTTAGATTGGCCCTTTTATCCCTCTTCATGTTGTATTAGCATACTAAAGAAGTAATATTGTATGATTCTTTACATAATTTTCTACCTTAGTCTACCTTGAAGGACTAATGTCCAGCTAATCAATGAACAAAGAAACACCAGGCTTCCAGGTTGATATGGTTTGGCTCTATGTCCCCACCCAAATCTCATGTTGAATTGTAATCCTCAGTGTTGAAGGAGGGACCTGGCTGAAGGTGATTGGATCATGCTGGTGGATTTCCCCATTACTGTTCTCATTAGAGCGAATGAGCTCTCACGAGATCTGGTTGTTTAAATGTGTGTAACACCTCCCCCTTCACTCTCTCTCCTGCTCTGGCCATGTGAATACTGTGCTTGCCTCCCCTTCACCTTCTGCCATGATTGTAAGTTTCCTGAGGCCATCCAAGCCATGTGTCCTGAACAGCCTGTGGAACTTTGAGCCAATGAAACCTCTTTTCTTCATATACTACTCAGTCTCAGGTAGTTCTTTATAGTAATGCGAGACTGGACCAATACACAGGTTAAATTGCTGACAGGGCATATGGAAATGTTCTCCTCTATCACTTAAAGATAAATGAAAACAAGAGAAGGAAGCAACTCCCAAATAGTAAGGAGAATGTGAGGAAAGTGAACAGCAAAATTGAGATGTTGCGTTACCAGTAACAACAATAAAGAATAGCCACAGGCTCAGAAGAGACTTGAATCAGAAATTAGAGGTGATCTTTCTGCAGAGATCTGAAGGGACTACAAATTAGGAATCAGTGAGAAGAGATGGTAGGTTAAAAGTATGGGACAGAAATGTGTAGCAATTCCTCTCTAGGGAATGTCTATAGATTAGCTTTACCGCCTGACATCACTGTTCACCCATGCATGGTATTTACTTCCAGGCAAAATCATTTGCACTGTTTGACCTTTACAATTGCAAAATATGCCTGGAGACATCAGAGATGTCTCATGGGTATTGATACCCCACAAAGTTCCTCTCCATATTGTTGCACAGAGGTTAGGGAGGGGCAATTATTAGCCATTGATTTATTCATTCTTTCTACAAATATTTGTGCAGGTAGTCTTCTAGATTTTGAGAATATAGAAGTTAATCAAACAATCAAAACCCTCTGGCATCATGAGTGTGTATTCTGCAGGAGGAAGGGAAAGAAAGCCAATAAATGCATAAATAGATATATTGTATATATTGTATGTATGGATATGTGGTATGGAGGATATGAAACAGGCAAGAGGAGTAGGAAGTGTCTGTGTACATGTATATGGTGGGAGGGGGGTCACAGTCAAGTGGAAATACCTTGGGTAAAAGTGCAACATGACATAATTATCTGTCCATTCAGGGGGATTTCACCATGTTGTTAAAAACTGTCTATGTAAAGACAGAAACATTTAAAAAATAATAATCTTTGTGGCCTTCTCACTAATTGGTCGTTCTATGTCAAGCTACTGTAATTTTTGTACATTAACCTCCACAGGTGGGAACTAAAATAACATGTTACTATGACCAGACTGATATAACATTTAAATAATTTAAAATTAAATCTATTTTTAAATTCCAAAAGACAAGGCAATTTTATGCTTTAAAAAGTTTTCTTTTTACTCTTTGTAATTTAAATAAACTTTTCTTTTGAATATAATGAAAATCTAGTTTCAAGATAAAATCAAGTTCAATATGCATATAATGAAGAAAATACATTGGTTTGTTATGGCAAAATTAATTTCCCATTGTATAAAATATTAATAAACCATCAAACTGGGAGTCAAAAACTCTAGCATTTTGATCTAGAGTTTTGATCTAATCATTTTGATTTACTCATTTTCTACAGTTCTTTGAATTTCTCCAATATATGTATATTCCCCAAATTATTCTCTTAGATGTCATTTATTTTTTAAAAACAGTACTTAAAATGTAACTAAAGAAACAGAAAACTGCTTACTGAAATTGCATTCATTTTTTGAAGTTCAATGGGAATATAACATTTCAGCAAATGATAGAATTAAATATTTTTGTGTCTAAATTTAAAATGCTAGTAGAAGCCTTGGCATTTAAACACAAATAAGATAATAAAATACTCAAAGCATAATCTTAATTGTTTATGATTTAGATAAATAAAATTTGGTGGGAATAAATCAAAAAAGAATGCACAATATTGAAACTTTTGAGTCGGATAAACGAATAATGACTAATCCTCAAGCTTCTACATCCTACAATATCCAAGAATTATTTTGTTAATTTAGTTTGCCTTGTTAAAGTATAAATTTCTTTCTCCAAAACCTACTTCCCAACCTCTCAATCTCCTGAAAACTGGAGCAAATCACTCCCTTCCTGCATTTCCTACCTCCAGTATTAAAGATGAATCAACAAGTATAGTTAATGGGGAGCCCACATTCTGTGCTTCAGTATCCTATCACAGCTAACTTTCTGCAGCCTTTTGAGAAACAGGTTCCTGCATGTTCTGAGTACTACATGCTTTCTACAGATTTGATCCCAATTTTTGGTCAACAGTTTTATGAATGTCCTGGTAACCTGTCTAGCTCTCTGCATCACTAGAATTTGACGTTGTTCTTACCAGTTTCCCTAACTTGATTAGATATCTATTCTTAAATATCTGTCTTGGGTTTGATGCTTTTGTATCACCTGACATGCCTTTTTCATGCAAATTGTTTGCTTTATGATTTCCAAGTAGTGCATCTTGTAAAGTCCTAGTCTGTTACTCTGTGAAGTCATCTTAGACCATGTGTGTCACCTACCAACTTGCACTACAGTTTTTTTTTAAATTATTTCCTATAGATAAAATTCTTGCTTAACTAACTGGGTTCTAAGATAGAAATTATTGTTTCAGAGAGCAAGAGTAAGTTGTAATGCCTGAACTCTCACTTGCACCAACTTTGGTTTCATAATGCAGAAAGTAATTAAACAACATATAATTAAATCTCAAGATAGGACAGTCCCCACCCATGCATACACATGTATTCAGAATTCATAGAACACAAACACAATTACTTCTCTTATAATGGCTTTTTCAGACATCAGAGAGCATTTCTCATACAGTCTTATGGATTTCAGCACAGGTATTATGAGTTTATCATACAGATGAAAAATGCTATTATATGAGCATGTTCTTTGTGTTACTAGTCTCTCCAGTGCAGTTTCTCTTGTGGGACAAAAATAACTTGGATGGTTTTAAAAATTAAAAATCTGAACCAAATAACAAGGAAATAAGGCAATACAAGCCAGGGACAATATTTTCTTAAAACTATCTTCCTGGGTTTTAATTGTATTTTCCTATCAGGTAATACGCATCCAGCGAGAATCCATAATAGGTATTTCAAAGAGAGGAAATTTAATACAGAGAACTGATTACATAGCTGTTGGAAGTTGAAAGAATCAACAGAGTAAGTGGAAGAATTTGGGGATTAATAACAGCAAGAAACAGCTTAAATCACCACAGCTGAAGAAATCAGAGATGTGAATGTTGTATTTGGGGATTTCTTGTGGTCCTTGTTAATTAGCTTTCAAATGGGTGACTTTTTCCCTTTGATTCAATTTGTGTCAAAGATGAGCCTTAGACATAATGTGATATTCAAGTGGTTTATTATGGCAACATTCTCAAAAGAGGGACAGTGGGAGGAGGCCAGTGGTATGGGCCAGAAACAGTCAGGTAGATCTCTGTCTGAAGACTATTCTCAGAGATTACGGGATTCTTCTTCCTTTTTTATATCTGTGTTAATGCAGGGTCAGTTACCAGGTATTTCTTTTAGAAAGGTAATTTAAGCTATTCTTGTAAGGGCAAGCTTTGTTTCAAGGTTTATGAGAATTCTATCTGTGCTGAGGTGGTCTTGTCTCCTGGAAATCCCCTGGCCAGGTTGCATCATACTGCTAAGTGACACATGTAGACACTTTATCTTACAGACATTTTATGTCTCTCATGGTATTCTCCAGTGAGGTTCCCACACATTCGTGTAGCTGCACATGTGGCTGGTGTTTGGATTTCAGGAGGAGCCACACTTAGGCTAGTGCTCAGACCTGTGGAGGGGTAGACGCTGCATGGCTGCTTCTCAAACGACGAAGATAACTCACTGGGATGGTACTAGGGGTACAGAAGGAAGCTGGAGTTCCCTGGAACAGTAAACCCAACTCTGTTTCCCTCCTCTCATCTATCAGTTATTTCCCAATGGCTCCATGGTCAGATTCTACGAGGAAGTCAGCTAAAAGAAAGCTGGAGATACTATTCACAGACTCCCAGGCCTCGTAGCACATAGCAGAGTATAGAAGGGTAAGGGAATGGCTGAGAGGCAATATGTGAAAAATCAACATATAATCAATACTTTTATCTATAATATGTAAATAACTGACATACACATTTTTCACACAATCTGTCTCTCCAAATACTGAGGCAAGAAGTTCAAATCCCATAGCTTGATGTACAGAAATTTAAATCATATAGTTCTTAACTATTTCTTCATTAGGTACTTCAACTCTTACGATAACCTTATCAAGGTCAAATTTTCTTTATACAAATTTTACCTGCTGAGAGAATATTAGATATCATTAGAAAAGAAGCCATTAAAATAGATAAATTTACAAGTAACTCATTTAGATAATTTAAAAATAAAATTTTGAATTCACCACAGAATGTCATTTTTTTCATTTTTTAATTCAGGAAGTAAAATATAAATTGTTTTAGCTATTCTTCAGTAAAAGTAAATCAAATAGCTTTTGAGTCTAATTTCATGTACAAATATGTTAGATATTTCCAAATAAATTTGTCTTTAAAATAATTTATGTTGTAGTAATTTTTTGAAGTACTACGCTAAGGAAATAAAAAACAACTTCAAAATGCTACGCAGCCATTTCCACTAATTTAAAGGATCAAATAAATTAGTTATTTCTGCAGAGGAGTTATTCAAATTATAAAGTGTCTCTCATCCCACTGCCTTCAAAAATCAGTGTGCTGTTGCATTATTCAACCAAAGAGCATTTCAACACATTAGCAGTTTAAATAAGAATAAAATAGATTTTTATAAATATTCCAAACTATTTGATTACACTGTTGGAAAAGACTTATAAACATTATGGATTATGATATTTTGCTGCCATCTTCTGATGAAAATACTGTAGGAGGAAAAAGTGTTTAGAAATATTCAAAGGAAATTTTCACAACATATTTTACTTGTGTTTGGGGATGAGATGCTGAAGGAATACATGGAACCAGGTTATGTTATTAAGTGTTATTAACACACCTGTAACTTCCTTACTGCTCCATTTGTTCAAACATCTTATGGCTATGGTATCTTACATCTTCTTTTTAATATTTAAACAAGTGATTCAATATTCCCTGTGATAAATCAGAATATAAATAATTGGAAATATTTAGTTATGCTCCCTTTTAAGTTGTTAAATATAAATCTTGCAACACAATGATCTCTCACTTTATTTAATTGCAAAAAATAGCAGTGGGATTTTAATCTTGAGAATAATTAAATATATTTAATGAGAATACAGTGATCTTCAGGTTTATTGGCCTTATTCTGAATCAACAGACTTTAAAAATTTTCTTCTTTTTCCTTTTTCTTTTTAAATCTGTAATCTAAAGTAAAGACTCCTGAGACATTATCCACTCATTTCTTAGATAATTAAATTAAAATCCAGCTCTTGGTTCTGCCATGAGCTTACAGTGTAATTTTATGCTAGTTGTATTCAGGCCCTTCAAGATGAGTTAAATATTTCTTAATTACCCATTCCAGAAGATCACACCTATGAAATCCTGCATACACTTCTGAGGTGACAAAACAAAAAACAAAAACAACAACAGCAAAAACTGAATCCCCCTCTTTATACTAAGTTTATTCTCAAACTTTTGCAGTTACAAGTTGAAATATAAGAAAGTTCATTTGTCTATAGTATAATTGGAATAGAAAACATTGTACCAAATGATCACAAGCTTCTGGCTCTTATACTCACTACTTGTGACCTCGTTAGTGTCGAGATAGTGCTCAAACTATGAAGTGGAACTAAATATAAAACTCATCAGAAATGTTGAAAAGTCCTCTTTTAGGCACCCTTTCTTCTTTGTCAGCTTTACCATTAGACTCTTCTAATTACGTCCTGTAGTCTCCCCAATCTCTCTTTAAATACTAAATATTTAAAAAGTACTTAGTATATTAATTTAAATTTAATTCAGCAAGACAGATAAGGCGCAGTGATACTTTTTCAAGTATCTTTTAATTTTAATAATTTTTGTGACATTTTGAAGACTTGCCCCTACTTGTGGGTATTACCTGCCTCTTCCACTGAAGCATATAGCACAGATCTTTCTTACTTTGTTAGCCTCAAGAAAGCAAAAGTGGACCAATGATGGTGGCTAGCACATACTGTATCATCATATAAATGATAAAAAGTGCTCCCTATAGACACATTTCATAAAAGCACATTTTTTTTTTTTTTTGGCTGATAGATCCCCCTCACCAGGAACCTGAGTGTGGTAAGTGGAGCTGGAGGTCTTTGTGTGATGCTTAAACTGCACAACTATATGTGGTGATTCTGATTAATGTAGGATTCTGAGGTTTCTGGTAGGTTACTCGGTTGAGTTTGTTCTTGAGGTGGGTTTTTATGGTATCTCTGCCTGTTGCTTCCTTTGTGCCCATCAATACAGTCAGAGTCAACGTGAAAAATTACCAGGACTTTGTTCTAGGCCACTTCTGTGCTCACTTTATCTTCCGTCTTTTGGCAATCTAATAATCTCTTATATTCCCAATTATTCAATGGCACAAATATGCCCACATATTTTCTTTCTAGTCTACTCAGCACTCCAGACTAAAGTGCACCCCTAACTTACTGGAACCTGCACTTAAATGTTTCACATTCACCCCAAACTCAAAGTATCCAAAACTCAATACATAATCTTCAAGTCTAAACCCTTCTTCAGTAATTCCAATTTTAATGAATTGCCCCATTATTCTTCTAGAAAACTGTAAGTCATCTTTGCTGCTTTATCTTCTCTCTTCAGAATAGCACACATATTTCCATCTCTGGTGCTGCTATCTCCGTGTGCCACTCTCACTCTTTTTTCTCATAATTGTGGCTTTGGTCTTCTGATTCTCCCATGTGCCTTTGCCCGTCTCCATTCTACCCTCCTCACTCTGTCAGAACGTCGCTTAAAACAGAGATCTGGTGGTATCACTTCCCAGCTTAGAATTCTTCCAAGCTTTCCTACTGCTTGGAGCATGTATGATTGACCTTTATTCACTCCTGTTTCCACCACATTTCTCCCTGTGACCTTTGTTCCTAAATTTTCTGCATTTCTCTGAACATCACATACTTTCTCACTTAAGAATATGCCAGGACACACAGTTATCTCAACAACACATCCTTGTATCTCATCAGTGCCTAGTTACTCCTGGGTTCTTAGCTGAAAAGTTACTCTTTGAGCCCCACATTAAAAAATTTTCCTCCCAACTTCTCATTTCCTCTACCAACAATTTACACTCCCCTATTATGTTGAAATTGTTTGTTTCCACTTTCACCACTTAACATTATTTGTCTCCTGTGTCTACTTTTATAGGCTGTAAACGCAAGAACAGAGAACTTGTCTGCTATGCGTCTGACATCTTAACCATTTGACATTGTGTCTGACACATCATACACACTCAATAAATATGAGTGTGCTATTATGTTTGTGAACATACTTAACTGAATACAATATAAACAGGTAGAGGTTAGATTCAGTAAAATCTAGACGCGAACTGATAGGATCACATTTTATCGATCTTTTATGCTGATTATATTCAAAGATACATCAATGTCATCTGATTATTTACAGCCCAACTTTGAATTTCCCATATGTTGTGGTGCTTCCCGGTGGCTCACGCCTGTAATCCTAGCAATTTGGGAGGCCGAGGCGGGAGGATCACAAAGTCAGGAGATCAAGACCATCCTGGCTAACACAGTGAAACCCTGTCTCTATTAAAAATACAAAAAATTAGCCAGGCGTGGTGGCACCCGCTTGTAGTCCCAGCTACTCGGGAGGCTGAGGCAGGAGAATCGCTTGAACCTGGGAGGCGGAGGTTGCAGTGAGCTGAGATCGCGCCAGTGCACTCCAGCTTGGATGACAGAGCGAGACTGCAACTCAAAAAAAAAAAAAAAAAAAAAAAAGGAAAGAAATAAAAATGAAACCATAACCTATGACCTATGGGAACTTCGTTACTTCCATAGTGACTATTGTAAAAATAATCTCTCAGAAAGTTAACTTCTAGTTTACATTCATTTAGTTCATTTAATATCAAGATATGGCAATATCATTTATTGACTAAAATATATTTCACAAGTTGGTGCTGACCTCTTAATTTCCTGTTTCCTCACCTAAATTATGGCTATGTTTTCAATACCTTTTAAATAGCGTGCCCTTCCAATTGTATTGAATGCAGGCAACTTCTTTACTACTGTTATGTTAAAACGTTGAAAAAGATGCTTAAGTTGTCTCATAAAATATCATTATGTCTGTGATGTTGATAAATTGAATTTCTGTTCTCAACAAAATTATTTTTCTATATATCTTTTGAACAATACCATCTATCTTTTATTGTCTGCTGACAATATTTAATTCCATTATTAAATTCATAGTATTACAACTTTCAGTTTTCTTCCTGTAGGTAAGTTATTTCCCAAAATATATATGAATAGTTGAAAAATCAGTCACATCTACTAGCTATTCATAAAAAATATAATAATAAAATCAATAGATTGCATGGTTTTATAAGAATGACTAAAACTTTGCTTATACTTATTAAAATGTTAGGGTACATTGTTTATTTTATAACCATATATGACATATAGGGTAGTATTAATAGATAAGATATCCACTAAATGAAGAAAACTCTTGATAGTGTGAATTAGTAAACCATCTACTTTTCAGTAATGAGCTTTACAAAATTACACTGAAATTTAGATGATAGAAATGGCAGGATATCCGTAATATCCTGTGATTATAGCTAAAATGTATTTATTTGAGAAAATCTGTTACCAGTAGATTAAAATTTTTAATGTTTACTTATTATAATATGAACTTGTTCAAACATTCGAAAATGAGGTTGAGTCCTCAACAGATAATGATAAACTTATGCAAATCAGTCACATCATATAATTTAGCAGATTGCATTGTTTATTAAGAACTAAAAGGTTTAAATACATCAATGTTCACAGAGTGACACCACTCTGCAGTGAAGGTAGTTCACAAAAAGATTTTTGATGTATCACAGTGTACACTCAAATGTTCACATATACATTTTAATTTTTAGTTTTTGTGCCTACATAGTAAGTATATATATTTATAGGGTACATGGGACATTTTGATACAGGCATACATTGCATAATAACTACATCAGGGTAAATGGGGTACTCGTCCCCTCAAGCATTTATCTTTTGTGTTACAAACAACTCAATTATAATCTTTCAGTTATTTTAAAACTTACAGTTAAATTTTAATAACAATAGTTCCCCTATTATCCTATGAAATGCTAAATTTTATTTATTGTTTCTAATTATATTTTATACTCATTATCCATCCCCACTTCCCACCCCCCAACCCTCTCAACCCCAGTGACCTTTTCCAGGCTCTGGTAATTATCATTCTGCTTTCTATCCCAACGAGTTCAAGTGTTTTAGTTAATAGCTCCCACAGATAAGTAAGAACATGTGGTTTGTCTTTTTGTGCCTGGCTTATTTCTCTTAACATAATGACCTCCAGTTTTGTCCATGTTCTTGCAAATGATAGGATCTCATTCATTGTTATGGCTGAATAGTATTTCATTACGTAAAGGCACCACATTTTGCTTATCCATTAGTCTGTTAATGGACAGGAACTTACTTTGCTTCCAAATCTTGGTATTTGTGACTTTTATTCTGGCTTTTTATTGTGGCTTCGATCATGTTACTTGTTATTGGTCTGTTCAGCTTTCAGACTTCTTCATGGATCATCTTTGTCAGTTGTATGCATCTAGGAATTAATCCATTTTTTTCTCTGTTTTCCAATTCATTGGAATATAGTTGTTTACAGTAGTCTCTAACAATCTTTTGAATGTCTGCAGTATCAGTTGTAATGTCTCCTTCTTCCTCTGTGATTTTATTTACCTGAGTCTTATTTCTGGGAGATTATAAAAAAATGTAGAATGGTGAATGCCACTCCAGGTGTAGTAAGTCAGAATCTGAATTTCAGCAATATTCTCAAATCATTCAACTGACAATAAAAGTTTAGAAAAGATTCGTGTGAAAGATTTGTTACTTACAGCCTCTATAATTCTGAACAGTTCCTAAACAATGTTGACTCGTATTTCCTAATCTGTAAAATGAGATGAAATTAACTGCTTTGACAAATCTCTGAATTATTATAAATATCTATCTGTAAAAAATTCTGCAATGTGGTATATATATATACAATAGAATATTAACCAGTCTTAAAAAAGGAGGAGATCCTACGAATTGCCAAAACATGGGTGGAACTCAAGGACATTATACTAAGTGAAGTAATCCAGACATTAAAAAATGGCATGATGTCACTTATATGTGGAATCTTAAAAAAAAAAAGGTCAAATATAAAGAAATAGAGAATAAAACGTTCCCAGAGGGAGGGTGGAGGGAGGAATGAACAAATGTCATTCAAAGGACACAAAGTAGCAAATTTGTAGAATAAAAAAATCTAAAGACCTAATATACAACACGTGAACTATAAATAATATATTCAGGATTTTTGCTAAACAGGTAGATTATTACTACTCTTGCTATAGGTAGAAAAAAATGGGTAACTCAACGTGTGACTTGAGGGTTATGTTAATTTGTGTCACTATGGTAACCATTTTACTATATAAATGTATCTCATAACCTATTGTATGCCAAACATGTACAAGTTTTTGTTTTTGTTTTTGTTTTTTTGTTTTTTTTTGTTTTTTTTTTTTTTGAGACGGAGTCTTGCTCTGTCGCCCAGGCTGGAGTGCAGTGGCGCGATCTCGGCTCACTGCAAGCTCCGCCTCCCGGGTTCACACCATTCTCCTGCCTCAACCTCCCGAGTAACTGGGACTACAGGTGCTTACCACCACGCCCGGCTCATTTTTTGTATTTTTAGTAGAGACGGGGTTTCACCATGTTAGCTAGGATGGTCTCGATCTCCTGACCTTGTGATCCACCCACCTCGGCCTCCCAAAGTGCGGGGATTACAGGCGTGAGCCAAAGGCAATTACCTATTTAGATATCTTCTGTATCTAAAGCTGTCCAAATTCCTGCCCACATATGGACCGTGATTTTTATGGTACGTTACTAATCACCTATAAACCATTATATCTTCTCTTTTCACTCTCTAGCGTCTTTTGATGAACAAATGTCTTTATTTTAGTGCAGATCTAAATATCAGCTCTTTTCTTCTCTGTTAGCTTTTCTTTTTCTTTTGGTGACATACTTAAGAATTTTCTAAACATATACCATAATGATATTCTTCTTTCACCTTTTAAAATCTTTGTGGTTTTGCCTGTCACATATAGTTCCTCAATCCCCCCAGAACTGACTTTTGTATTTTATACATGACTGATAATTTACATTCATGATACGTCAAAAAATACTATATCAACGTGACTCATTTTTGATAAAGCCTGTCCTTTCTACACTAATCTGTCGTGCCATTTTGGTTGTCATTCAAATGTTTATAGATGGATGTTTCTGGACTCTATTCTGTTTTTTGATATGTTATTCTATTCTTAGGCCAATACCACACTTTCTTTTCATTACTGTAGCTTTGATTAAAATATCACTTCTTTTCTGATAAAGTAAATCCACTTAATATGCTTTTCTAGAGTGTCTTGGCTGTTATTGGCCCTTTAATTTTCCAAATAAATTATAAAATTGGTTTTTAAATTTACAAAAAGAATCATCAATGATTTTGCATAAAGTGGTTGAAAAAAATAACTGAGTCTTCTAGCCTCTGATGATGACATCAACCTTTGGCTAAAGTTTTTAAAATTATATTTTATGCTTTTTTATAGAAGTTTTACAGATAGTTATAACATTTATTCTTGAGTGTTTGACCTTTTATATTTTAAATTATATTTTAAAAATGATTTATTTTAATTTAATAGTTCCTAATTTTGTACGTAACATCTTAACTAAGCCCCCTTATTTTAGTAATCTACATGTGAAATATTTTAGATATTTACCTATGTATATGTTTTATATGAAAATGTACAATATATACAATAATCAAATAATGCATTAGTTTGCTAGGCTTCTCATAATAAGGTGCCATAGGTTGGATAGCTTAAACAATAGAAATACGTCTTCTCATATTTCTGTAAGTCTGGAGACTAGAAGTTCAAGATCAAGGTCATAGTGATCTTGAGGCTGGTTTGTTCTGAGGGCTGTTGGGGAAGGAACTGCTCCAGGTCTCTCCTCTTGGCTTATAGGGGACATCTTCATGTTCAAAAAGTGCTCTCCCTATATCTTCACATCATCTTTCTTCTATATATGTCTGTGTCCAAATTTCCTTTTTTTGTGATCACACCAAGTATATTGAATTAGGACCTATCTCAATGACTTCAACTTAACTGAATTAGCTCTGTGAAGACCCTGTGCCTAAATATGGTCCCATTCTGAGGTACCAGGAGTTAGACGTTCAGCATAAATATTGGTGGGCAGGTACGGGGACACAGTTTAGCTCACAACAGTTTTTTCTTTCTGATCCTTATATATTTTTATACACTTTTTTGTTGTATTGCCCTAATTACAATGCTCAATAGAAATAGTAAATTGGCCATAGCTTTATCCTTAACTTGTGAGTAGAAGCTATCAAATATTTACTATCATATAAAATGTTTGCTATAGATTTTCAAGGGCTATACAGGTACTAGTTGAGTTTATGAAACATTCCTCTTTTTCTAGTTTGTCAAAAGCATTTATTGTAAATGAAAATTAAATTTTGACCATTTGTCTGCCTTTACTGAAAATATCGTGTTTATTTCCTAATATTTCTGTTATTATAATAATTTACTTTGTTTTTTAAAAACTCATACAATTCAGCACTTTTGGAATAAATCAAATGCAAATCTATTGTTATTTATTATTATTATTGTTTACATATTGCTGTGATTGGTTTGAAAATATTTTGTTAGGGATTTTTGACTCTAATCTTATAGGTAATATTGCCCTCTAATTTTCTCTTCTTTTAAGAAAAAAACATGCTGTTTGTATTGAGGCTACATTTTTCTATAAAACAAAATGACATTTTTACTTTCTTAACTAATTCCTCAAGAAGATTTTAGCTTACTTTACATATTTATGTTTGGTAGTATTCATAAAT
The DNA here is from genome assembly GCF_000001405.40 of Homo sapiens. Taxonomy (NCBI): domain Eukaryota; kingdom Metazoa; phylum Chordata; class Mammalia; order Primates; family Hominidae; genus Homo; species Homo sapiens. The sequence continues at coordinate 162,509,060 of NC_000003.12, read as the reverse complement.
AAAACATTATAGGCCTGGACGCTTGTGCGTGAAAGAAGAGGACAAGAGAGAACGTTTGTGATTATATATTCTATTTCTTAATTTAGTATAGTGTTATTCACATTTTCTGTTGATTCTATAGCAATTTCAATGTATATATATTTTCCAAGATTATATTAATTTTATCTAAATTATCAAATGTATTAGTATAACCTTGTTTATAATATGTGTAGCATGTATAATTAGTCTTTTCTGGTAATCTTGTATTCGCTATTTATTCCTTCTTTCATTTTAGCTGAGAATTCTAGCCATATACTTACCAATATTAATGATCTTCTTTAAGAATCACTTTTTTAAATAAATTCCATTTTATATTTGTTTTCTATGTCACTACTTTCTGCCCTCAATGTTTTCTCCTTTCCACTTCCTTTGGGATATATTTTCTGTTATTTTCCTATTTTCTTTGGCTGGATACATCAGTAGTTAATGTTTTTAAGGGGCAGAGGCCACTGCTTTCCAATTTCTAATTATTTGCTTAATTGAGAAAAAATATTTTAGCTTTATTTGTGAAGACTCTTTTCACTTGGTATTGTTGGATTTGTTTTAATTTGTTTATTTTTATTGGCATTTTTCTTATCCCCAACCCTTTTGATTGCCAGGACATTGAAAAATATCATTATGTTTTATAGTTGGTGTTTATTGTATTTCTTGTAGCTGTGATTAAATGTCTTCACTAGTTTTGGAAAATATCCGTACCTTTCCCATATTGCTTTTACTTACTATTTTTTTCTCTTCTGGAATTGCAATTATATTCATATGTTAGAAATTTTTACTTCATCCCATATGACTTTTATTCCCATTTTATATTTCTGTTTGTATCTCCATTGTTATCTATTTATCTCACATTATCTATGTTGGCATATTTTCTCCTGTTTTTTTTTTCCAATTTAATAATTCAGTTCTCAGCTTGGTCTAATCTATTAAATCCATAAATTATAGATCTTAATATTTATGATTACATTTTCAGTTCCAAAATTGTTTGCTCCTTTTTATTGTTTTCCGTTTTCTGCTGAAATTACCAATTTTCTCTTCTATTTTGCTGATAACTAGGCAACACAGTTATTTTGATGTCTTCATTGTCTTTATCCAAAGTTTACCTATTTATGTTGTCTATCATTTTGCCTGATTTTCTACCACACAGTCAGGTCTCTTTATAGGTTTAGTCATTTTTGATTGAGGGCTGAATATTTTATCTAAAAGTTGAGATAATTTGAGGCTTATGGTGATGTGCTATGCATTAAGGGAGGTTATAGGCTGTTTCACACAACTATCTAAAGATGTGCTTTCTTTATTATTATAAAGCTAGCTAAAGGGGTGCTTTCTTCATCATTATAAAGCACAGAGAAGCTATTCTCAAATATCTTAAGATTTTTTTAAAGTTAGGATTTTAATATTCAAGCTTCTGCATAGCTTTGCTTTAGCTATGACTCAGTGTGACACATTACCATTGAATTTTCTTTTGTAAATAATATATGAATTTTGAAAGATAAAATTATCTCATTTATATAAAATGATATATTTAGTTTGAATTCTATCATTCTATTTGGCAATATACTTACGAGATATATAGCTTTTATTTAGTCTTCTAAGAATTTATTTATTTTTTGTCCATGTTTTTATTTTCCTTTTAAATGATGGGCATTATTTTAGTTTAACTCTATTTCTTTTATTGGTGACCTTAAAAGCAGTCCATTTATTTACTCTTCACTTAAGAACTTTGCATATGAGAAACAATATGAAATTTAGTGTCATCCTTTTCTTCTGATTATCCTTATTACCAACACTTAATTTTACTAGGATATATTCTTATTAGCTCTTTTCATTGTTGTCTTTAAAATTTCAGATACCCTTGAATATATTACATAATTGATTCGATTTTACAACCATATTTTGACCTTCTGCTTTGACATATAGGGAAATTGATATTATACAATCTCTTATATTTTCTCTTTTGCCTGACTTTTATTAGTTACATTTTTAGTTTACCACTGTCTTCATAGTTTATAGAAGGTAAATTCTATTCAAGTTTAATCCTTTAGTTAAATTGATTTAATGTGTTTTGACACTTATTATTACATTTCTAGTCCTTTGTAAGTTGGTGTCAAATTTCCTACTTATACCATTTGAGAAAATTTTATGGAAGCTACCTTCCCTAAATTCTTACATTTGAAAATAATTTCTGTGGCCTTTATGTTTCAATAAAAGTTTGAAAAGCTATAAGATTGCTAGAATATTCTCTCCCTGAGGACATTGTAGACAGCCACATACATTATTGTATAGTATTAAATATTGTTATAGGATATTATGAATCCAAGCAGAAGTTTCCAGTTACAGAATACTTGGTTTTATTGTAATGGTGATGATTTCTTGTATTTCTATAAGATTCTTTCTTGAGTTTATAATCAATAATTTTATTGAGATATCTGTCAATTTTAGTAAATTCATATCTATATTTAGAAATGGATAGCTTAACATATATATAGATTCCGTATTTCAACATTGTTTCTGGAATTATAGTTTTGATTGTTTATATGTTCTGTGTTTTTCAGGAAAAACAAATATGTCTATGCTATGTCTCTCTTTTCTCTCATATGATTTGTAATATAATGTTATACAGGTGAAAATGTAAGCCCATTTTTCCTTCTTTTTTTTGAGAGAGAGTCTCGCCCTGTGCAGTGGCGCGATCTCGGCTCATTGCAACCTCAGCCTCCTGGGTTCAAGCAATTCTCCTGCCTCAGCCTCACGGGTAGCTGTGATTACAGGCATGCATCACCACGCTTGGCTAATTTTTGTATTTTTAGTAGAGACAGGGTTTCACCATATTGGTCAGTCTGGTATCCAACTCCTGACCTCATGATCCGGCCACCGTGGCCTCCTAAAGTGTTGGGATTACAGGGGTGGGCCACCATGCCCAGCCCATTTTTCCATCTTTAAATAGTTCTTTCTAATAAATAACCAATAAATCAAACCAAGTTGGTAGATTTGGCACATATTAAATTTTTATTGTTTATGGTGTTTATAGGAAGGGCTGCCTATATGATACAAATCACTCTTTTTTTATTTTACTTTCACTTAGAAATTGAGATCAAAATGTAAATTAATGGTAATAAGAATGAGACTTAATCAGTTAAAGGAGTAATGTTTTTACATATAATATGTAAATAATGTCCAAATCTAATTAGTATAATAATACTAAAATTTAAAAAATGATTTGTCCTAAATTTGAGTGTGTGTGTGTATGTGTTAAATAATTTATGGTTCTTGTGGAATTTTCTGTTTATCAATTCTACCTGGATAAATATGAAAATTCTGTGGATATTGAGATGTTGCCACTTATTAGATCCTGAATTTTTATTGCATTTTGTTGAGTTATATAATGTAAAATAAAGTCCAGGAATTATAAATGTCAAAAAAACCCTCATGTATATAAAAGAGATTATTTCTGTTTTAATAACCAAAAATATTCTTGATAGCAATGCTTCATTTTCATCTAAGTCAAAGAAAAACATGCTTAATTAAAGCAGTTTATAGGCCGGGTGCAGTGGCTCACACCTGTAATCCCAGCACTTCGGGAGGCTGAGTCAGGAGGATCACCTGAGGCCAGGAGTTTAAGACCAGCCTGACCAACATAGAGAAACCCCATCTCTACTAAAAATACAAAATTAGCTGGGTGTGGTGGTGCATGTCTGTAATCCCAGCTACTCAGGAGGCTAAGGCAGGAGGATCGCTTGAACCCCGTGAGGCAGAGGTTGCGGTGGGCAGAGGTTTCGGTGAGCTGAGATCACACCATTGCACTCCGGCCTGGGCAACAAGAGCAAAACTCAACTTCAAAAAATAAATAAAAAAAAAAACAGTTGATATAGGTCCAGAACATACACTAAATAAGTTTTAAATGACTGTAAGAAGCCAATTTAACCTATAAAAATATAGAAAGGAATTATGCTTAATCTAGAATTTATTTAAATTGAAAACTCTACTCTGTTAAAAACAATGTAAGATAATTAGAAGACAAGCCAAAGACTGGGAGAAAATATTTGCGAAGACACGTCTGATATAAGACTATTATCAAAAATATATAAAGAAGACTTAAAACATAACAATAAGAAAGTAATCCAATTAAAAAATGAGAAAAGAATCCAAGTTAAAAATTTAATCCAATTTAAAAAAAGAAGACAAAAATGTCTGCTCACTTTATGATAGGGTTGTTTTTTGCTTTTTTTTTTTTTGTGAATTTGTTTAAGTTCCTTGTAGATTCTGGATATTACACCTTTGTCAGATGGATAGATTGCAAAAATTTTCTACCATTCTGTAGGTTGCTTGTTCACTGTGAAGATAGTTTCTTTTGCTGTGCAGAAACTCTTAGTTAATTAGATCCCATTTGTCAATTTTGGCTTTTGTTCCCACTGTTTTTGGTGTTTTAGTCATGAAGTCTTTGCCCATGCCTATGTCCTGAATGGTATTGCCTAGGTCTTCTTCTAGGGTTTTTATGGTTTTAGGTTTTACATTTCAGTCTTTAATCTTTCTTGAGTTAATTTTTGTATAAAGTATAAGGAAGGGGTCCAGTTTCAGTTTTCTGCATATGGCTAGCCAGTTTTCTCAACACCATTTATTAAATAGGGAATACGTTCCTCATTGCTTATTTTTGCCAGGTTTGTTGAATAACATATGGTTGTAGATGTGTAGTATTATCTCTGAGGTCTCTGTTCTATTCCATTGGTCTACGTATCTGTTTTGGTACCAGTACCATGCTGTTTGGTTACTGTAGCCTTGGAGTATAGTTTGAAGTCAGGTAATGTGACACCTCCAGCTATGTTCTTTTGCTTAGGATTGTCTTGGCTATACAGGCTCTTTTTTGGTTCCATATGAAATTTAAAGTAGTTTTTTCTAGTTGTGTGAAGAAAGTCAATGGTAGCTTGATGGGGATAGCACTGAATCTATAAATTCCTTTGGGCAGCATGGCCGTTTTCACGATATTGATTCTTCCTATTCATGAGCGTGGAATGTTTTTCCATTTGTTTGTGTCCTCTCTTATTTTCTTACATGATGGTATGTAGTTCTCCTTGACGAGGTCCCTCATGTCCCTTGTAAGTTTATTCCTATGTATTTTATTTTCTTTGTAGCAATTGTGAATGGGAGTCCACTCATGGTTTGGCTGTTTGTCTATTATTGGTGTATAGGAATGCTTGTGATTTTTGCACATTGATTTTGTATCCTTAGACTTTGCTGAAGTTGCTTATCAGCTTAAGGAGATTTGGGGCTGAGATGATGGGGTTGTCAAAAAATACAATCATGTCATCTGCAAACAGACAGAATTTGACTTCCTCTCTTCCTATTTTAATACGCTTTATTTCCTTCTCTTGCCTGGTTGCCCTGGCCAGAACTTTCAATATTATGTTGAATAGGAGTGGTGAGATAGGGCATCCTTGTCTTGTGCCGGTTTTCAAAGGAAATGCTTCCAGCTTTTGCCCATTCGGTATATTATCTATGGGTTTGTCATAAATAGCTCTTAGTACTTTGATATATGTTCTATCAATACCTAGTTTATTGAGAGTTTTTAGCATGAGGGGGTGTTGAATTTTATCAAAGACCTTTTCTGCATCTATTGACAATTATGTGGTTTTTGTCATTGGTTCTGTTTATGTGATGGATTACGTTTATTTATTTGTGTATGTTGAACCAGCCTTTCCTCCCAGAGACGAAGCTGACTTGATTGCGGTGGATAAGCTTTTTGATGTGCTGCTGGATTTGGTTTGTCAGTATTTGATTAAGGATTTTTTCACTGGTGTTCATCAGGAATATTGGCCTGAAATTTTCTTTTTTTGTGGTGTCTCTGCCAGGCTTTGGTACCAGGATGATGTTGACCTCATAAAATGAGTTAGGGAGGAGTCTCTCTTTTTCTATTGTTTGCAATAGTTTCAGAAGGAATGGTACCAGCTCCTCTTTGTACCTCTGGTAGAATTCAGCTATGAATCCATCTGGTCATGGGCTTTTTTTGGTTGTTAGGCTATTAATTCCTACCTCAATTTCAGAACTTGTTATTGGTCTGTTTAGGGATTCGACTTCTTTCTGGTTTAGTCTTGGAAGTGTGTACCTGTCCAGGAATTTATCTATTTCTTCTAGATTTTATCATTCATTTGCATAGAGGTATTTATAGTATTCTCTAATGGTAGTTTGCATTTTTGTGGGAATCAGTGGTAATATCCCCTTTATTGTTTTTCATTGTGTCTATTTGATTCTTCTCTCTTTTCTTTATTAGTCTGGCTAGCAGTCTGTTTTGTTAATCTTTTCAAAATCCAGCTCCTTGATTCACTGATTTTTTGAAGGGTTTTTCGTGTCTCTATCTCCTTCAGTTCTGCTCTGATCTTAGTTATTTCTTGTCTTCTGCTAGCTTTTGAATTTGTTTGCTCTTGCTTCTCTAGTTCTTTCAACTGTGATCTTAGGTTGTCGATTTTAGATCTTTCCTGCTTTCTGATGTGGGCATTTAGTGCTGTAAATTTCCCTCTTAACACTGCTTTAGCTATGCCCCAGATATTCTGGTACATTGTGCCTTTGTTCTCATTGGTTCCAAAGAATTTATTTATTTCTGCCTTAATTTCGTATTTACCCAGTATTCATTCAGGAGCAGGTTGTTCAGTTTCCATATAGTTGTGTGGTTTTGAGTGAGTTTCTTAATCCCGAGTTCTAATTTGATTGCATTTGATGATTACTTTTATGTATCAACTTGAGTGGGCCATGGGGTGCTAATATGAAACATTGTTTCTGGATGTGATTGTGAAGGTATTTCTGGGTGAGATTAGCATTTGAATCAATAGATTTAATAAAGCAGATTTTCCTCCCCAATGTGGTTGGACATCATCTAATGCATTGAGGGCCTGAAGAGAACAAAAGGCAGAGAAAGAAGGAATACCCCTTTATTCCTTACTCATGACTTTAGCTGGGAAATATCTTCTCCTGCCCTCGGACTTGATTTTACATCAGCTCCCCTGATTTGCAGGCCTTCAGAACAGGGCTGAATTACATACCACTTTGCTGAAGGCATATTGTGGAACTTCTTCTTGGTCTCCATAATTGTGTAATTCCATTGTGAGATTCCCAGTTCCTCACAATAAATCAATCAATCAATCTATCTATCTATCTATCTATCTATCTATCTATCTATCTATCTATTTATCTATCTATCTATATGTATATATCTAATCTATCTCATTGGTTCTGGTTTTCTGGAGAACTTTAATATGGCTACATAATGCATGACTCCAACTATATGAAATCCTGGAAAATGCAAAACTATGAAGATAATAAAAACGTAATGGTTGTCAAAGGTTACTGAGGAGGGAGGACATAGGGGAGTTTTAGGTTAGGGAAACTATATTGCACAATATTACAGTAGTACATGTGTGTCATTATACATTTGTCAAAACCCATAGAAAGTACAGCTCTAAAAGTTAACCCTAATGTAAACTATGAACTTTGAGTGGTGATGGTGATGTGTCAGTATAAGATAATCACTAATCACAAATGAACCACTCTGGTGCACAATGTCAATAGTGGGCAAGACTGTGCATGAGTAGGGGAAGGGGTTATACAGGACCTTTCTGTACTCTATTCAATTTTGCTGTGAACATAAAGTGGCTCTAAAAATTAAAGTTAATTAATTAAAAAACAAAAACAAATGTAATGGAAAAATTTCATGTGTTTTCCATTGAGTTGAAAAAAAAAAGCCTTAAAAAACTAACAAAACATCCAGCAACAATTAAAATAATAAAAGGAAACATGCTCTTCCATTACTAACAGCACCAAAATTATGGACAAAGTTTTTTGGAAATAAATAAGTCATAGGTTTAATTACCTTAAGAGTAGAATTAAGATTGTTGTTATTTGCAGACTATTATCATTTACCTATATCAATCAATAGAAAAACTATTACACCTGATGAGTTCAATGACATTAGCAGACACAAAATCAACTTATAAATGTAATAGTATATCTGTTCATAATTAATTACCATTTATGGAATATAATAACAAAATGAGACTGCTATATTAGCAAAACCTATCAAGTTCCTACAAGTTAATACAAAAATAAATGTGTAAATATCTATGCAGAAAAGATTTAAACTGTCAAAAATTTCATAGAAAATGCTCATAATAAAAGAAGAGTCAATTCAAACACTTAGATAAAATTAATATTATATAGATTAATTATACTAGGTTAATTATATTATTCTATTATATTAGGTAAATTATACCGAATAGCAATCTCATCAAAATTCCAATTTGATTTTCAAGTGTTCTCACATAACATATCCTATACAGAAAATAAAGGTCCATATACAGATTAATTAATCTTGAAAAAATTAACAAGAAAACAAGAGGGAGAGAGATTACTTTCCTGATTACAGACAACCAAAACGAACAACAATTTTGTGGAAATGGCACAGAAGCAGATAAACAGACCAACAGAACCAATAAGAAGCCAACTAAGAAATATAATTACATGTATAATAATGAATAATATGTAATAAATGTAATCTAAAAATTATTAAAGAACAGATGTAGTAAATTGTTTTGGAAAAAAGGGAAATACTTAAAATCTCCTAATAGTAGATACACAGATTAATCATAAAGGGAATAACAATCTAAATGTAACCTAAATGTCAATGTAATTATAATATTAAGCTTTGAAATATATATTTTATAAAATAAAAACAAAAAAGGATTTCCTAAATTTTAAAATACAAACTCTTAGAAAAAGCAACTGCTAATAATATCAAAACTAATATCTTCTTAGTGCCTTAATAACTCCTTTAATAAATGACATTATAGACAAAGTTTACAGACCTAGAATACATTGTGGAAAAATATTTGCAATTTCTGAAACTGTTGGGAAGAAACACAAGAGATTCCTGCAAACTGGTAAGCATAAAATGAGAATTTCCACTTAAAAAATTTAGGGGCAAATATTTGCACAAATGGTAGATATAGAGAAAGAAATCCAAAAGGCAAATAGGAATATGAATAGATGATCAAAACCACCAATAATCAGAGTAGAGCAAGCCAAAACAATGAAACATTTTATGCCAATTAAATTATCAAAAAATTGAGACAAATTATTCAAAGTACTAGCAGGGATGGGTGTAGAAACTCTCAGGTATAGCTATAGAGAATATAATAGATGCAGCTATTCTCTTAGAACTTGGTTAAATTAAGTGTTCTTAAATATTACAAGCATTATTAATGCTGATACTGCTGAATATCTGTAAGAAATTCTCCTATAGATAAATAAATATAATCAGCTTTCTATATCCATGGGTTCTGCATTCATGGATTCAACCAACCGTGAATTGAAAACGCAACAGGCTGGGTGCAGTGGTTCACGCCTGTAATCCCAACACTTTGGGAGGCCGAGGCAGGCGGGTTGCCTGAGGTCAGGAGTTCGAGACCAGTCTGGCCAACATGGTGAAAACCTGTCTCTACTAAAAATACAAAAAAAATTAACCAGGCATGATGGCATGTGCCTGTGATCCCAGCTACTCAGGAGGCTGAGGCAGGGGAATTGCTTGAACCAGGGAGGTGGAGGTTGCATTGAGCCGAGATCACACCCCTAGCCTGGGTAACAGAGCGGGACTCCGTCTCAAAAAAGAAACAAACAAAAAAACAAACAAACACACACACACAAAAAACAGAAAACACAACAATGCAACAATAAATAATATAGATAAAAATAGTACAAATATGTACATAGCATTTCCATTGTATTAGGTATTATAAGTAATCTAGCAATGACCTACAGCATACAGGAGAATATTCATAGGTTATATATAAATACTATGCTATTTTATAAAAGATTTGAGCATCCATGGATTTTGGTATCCACAGGCTTTCCTGGAACAAATTGCCCTGGATATTTAATAACTACTGTACATAGAAAAGTATATTTATCACAACATTCTTTGTATTAGGTGATGAAGAGTAGGCCACATCGTAGGTTTCTATCAGTGGGTTGAGAGGCAAAATGTAGCAGGTGCATGACACAGATTACTATGCAAGAGTTAGAAGTAAACAATGAGATACACGTGGCAACCCAAATTAATTGTTAAATCGTGCTGTTGAGTAAGAAAAAAATAGTATTATACATTCATACATATATACAGATGGTTCTTGACTTACAATGGGCCTGCATCTGGGTAAACCCATGGTAAGTTCAAAATATCCTAACCTTTGACTTGTGATACTTTCAACTTGAGTTTTATCATGAAATAACCCTCCTGAAAGTTAAAGAATTACTGGATGAGTATTGTTTTCACACCATTGTAAAACTGAAAAATCATAAGTCAAAATAATGTAAGTCTGTGACCATCTGTAAATGTATAATACATTAAAATGTATATATAAATGTATACAAATTTAAAAAATATAAGTGCAAAGCAATATACATTTTAAGTGAACACATGTAAGCAAATCTTTTTATATACATTAGAATGATTATAAATAAAACAGAAAGTCTTGTACAGATAATTAAATATAATTTCAGAAATTTGATAAACAACATTTTGCATCAAACAATTCTGCTTATAGATCAAAATAGCTATATACATATATATACACACATATCTCATATATATGTCATATGAATATTTATGTATATATATATATATACACTGATCACCTAAACCAAAGAGATTCTTTAGTTTATAATAATGAAAATTAAGCTGTTATTTAAGATAGTTATTATTTATCACAGACTTTTAAAAATGGAGTCTAAGTAGGAGCATAATATTTCTCATTTCATCCCTTTTCTCAAAAGCTGCCTTAGGTATGGTAGTTTCTTATTCTATTATATTTAGATTATTTTGGGAGACAAATTGAATTTCCTACTTATATTGACAAAACTATTAGGGCTGAAGCTATCAAAATTCAGAAGTTAACAAGACTAAAACCAATAGTCAATAGCTTAATAGGAAATGGACTCATCATAATTTGTACCAGTTCTAATAAAACCTCTCTTCATCCAGCTGAAAAATCCAAGAAGCTGTATTGTTTTAGGATCTCTGGTCTATAAATAAACAGCCATTTTTTCTTTTCACTGGTAGTAGAATCAAATACTATGCTATCTCTAGTACCATTATTTTATAGTTCTGATTTTTTAGGTGGTCCTCTACATACAGAGAGCTAACAAATAATGGTCTGTGCTTCAGTTATTTACTATGGTATCCTTCTAAATTTCCCAAGTCCTAAAACAGGATGCTAAAGGCCTCAAAGTTGCCTGAGATTATTTTTAAATCCAACTTAGACATGAATTTGACACATCCTAAAAATGAGATGATATTTTAAAATGTATTAATCTATTAACCTGGTCAAGTACTTAGTGTGCTAACTCATCTTTATGGGAATCATTAGAGACCAGAACTTATCATAGTTTTCTTTACCCAGTGACATAAAGCTAACCATCTTGCAATAGCAGGATCAGCCAAAATTTCTGAACAATTAGGATTTCCTCCTATTTATTTTCTCCTCTATCCATTTATATTTATTATTGTAATATTTTAAACCTAGCTACAACTGTTTCATTACCTGAAAAAGGATAAACATATGTCCATATAGCCTTGGGATAAAAACTGATATGGTTAGGCTTTGTGTTCCTACCCAAATTTCATCCCCATAAATTCCATGTGTCAAGGGAGAGATCAGGTGGAGGTAAATGGATCACGGGGGCTGTTTTCCCCATGCTGTTTACCTAATAATGAGTGAGTTCTCATGATATCTGGTGATTTTATAAGTGTTTGGTAGCTCCTCCTGCATTCATTCTTCCTGCTGCCTTGTGAAGAAGGTGCCCTGCTTCCCCTTCCCCTTCCCCTTCCACCACAATTGTGACTTTCCTGAGGCCTCCCCAGCCATGCAGAACTGCGAGTCAATCAAACCTCTTTCCTTTATAAATTATCCAGTCTTTGGCAGTTCTTTATACCTGTGTGAAAATGGACTAATACAGTAAATTGGTACTGCGGGGCATGGTGTACTGCTATAAAGGTACCGAAAAATGTAGAAGCAACTTTGGAACTGGATAACAGGCAAAGGTTGGAACAGTTTGGAAGGCTCAGAAGACAGGAAGGTGTGGAAAAGTTTGAAACTTCTAGAGACTTGTTGAATGGCTTCGACCAACATGCTGTAAGTGATATGGACAATGTAGTCCAGGCTGAATTGGTCTCAGATAAAGATGAGGAACTTTTTGGGAACTGGAATAAAGATGATTCTTGCTATGCTTTAGCACAGGGACTGGTAGCATTTTGCCCCTGCCCCAGAGTTCTGTGGAACATTGAACTTCAGAGAGATAATTTAGGGTATCTAGCGGAAGACATTTCTAAGCAGCAAAAAATTTAAGATATGACCTGGGTGCTCTTAAAAGCATTCAGTTTTACACATTCATAAAGAGATGGTTTGGGATTGGAACTTATGTTTAAAAGGAAAGCAGAGAATAAAAGTTTGGAAAATTGGCAGCCTGACGATGCAATAGAAAAGAAAAACCTATTTTCTGGGAAGAAATTCAAGCCAGCTGGAGAAATTTGCATAAATAACAAGGAGCCAAATATTATGGACAAGACAGTGTCTCCAGGACAAGTCAGAATTCTTCATGGCAGCACTTCCCATTATAGGTCTGGAGGCCTAGAAAGAAAATGGTTTAGTCGGCTGGGCCCAGGGCCTTGCTGCTTTGTGCAGTATTTGGACTTGGTGCCCTATGTCTTGGCCACTCAAGCCGTGGCTAAAATGGGACAAGGTACAGCTCAGGTTGTTGCTTCAGAGGGTTCAAGCCCCAAGCCTTGGCTGCTTTCACGTGGTGTTGGGCCTGCAGGAGCACAGAAGTAAAGAATTGAGGTTTGGAAACTCCACTTAGATTTTAGAGGATTACAAGAATTTCTGGATGTCCAGACAGAAATTCGCTGCAGAAATTTGCTGTGGAGCTCCTATAGAGAACTTTTTCTAGGGCAGTACAGAAGAGAAATGTGGGGTCAGAGCCCCCACACAGAGTCAATACTGGGGCACAACCTAGTGGGGCTCTGAGAAGAGGGCTACTGTCCTCCAGACCCCAGAATGTTAGATCCACCAACAGCTTACACTGTATACCTAGAAAAGCCATAGGCACTCAATGCCAGCCCATTGAAAGCAGTCAGGAGGGAGGCTGTACCCTGCAAAGCCACAGAGGCAGAGCTGCCCAAGGCTGTGGGAGCCCATCTCTTACATCAGCATGACCTGGATGTGAGGCATAGAGTTGGAAAAGACGGTTTCAGAGCTTTGGCATTTGACTACCCCACTGGCTTTCAAACGCATGAGGCCTGTAGCCCCTTTATTTTGACCAAGTTCTCCCATTTGGAATGGGTGTATTTACTCATTGCTATACCCCCACTGTATCTAGGAAGTAATTAACTTGATTTTGGTTTTACAGGTGTATAGGCAGAAGGGACTTGCCTTGACTCAGATGAGACTTTGGACTTGGACATTTGAGTTAATGCTGGAATGAATTAAGACTTTGCAAGACAGATTGCAATGCATGATTGACATAAGGGACATGAGATTTGGAAGGGGCCAGTGCAGAATGATAGAGTTAGGCTTTGTTTCCTCACACAAAGCTCATCTTGAATAATCCCCATAATCCCCATTATCCCTACGTGTTAAGGGAGAGACCAGGTGGAGGTAATTGTATCATGGGGACACCTTTCCTCATGCTGTATTGTGATACTGAGTGAGTTCTCATGAGACATGATGGTCTTATAAGGGGCTCTTCCCACTTCTCTAGCCACTTCTCCTTTGTGCCACCTTGTGAAGAAGGTGACTTGCTTCCCCTTCCCCTTCTGCCATGATTGGAAAATTCCAACTTGTCTCTGCAGCTACAAGGCATCCATTTTACTGCAGCTATAGTTTATAAATACTTGCCACCTGTTGAGAAGATCCCCTGTCTGTTCCATCTCCAATATTGAGGATGAATAAAATAAGTGGAATTTTGAAACTAAAATTAGCAAAACCCTCAGAGATCCTCAAACTGATGTGGATTAAGATGATTTTATTGACTAACATCAAAGAGATTTACTCCTTTAGAGTAGTATCAGCTTTCACTTGTAAGTTAGCAGGGGATCATACCCTGTGTATTAGTCTGTTCTCATGCTGGTATGAAGAAATACCTGAGAATGGGTAATTTATGAAAAAAAAGATGTTTAACTTGCTCACAGTTCTGCATGGCTGGGTAGGCCTCAGGAAACTTATAATCATGGTGGAAGGCACCTTTTCACAGGGCAGCTGGAGAGAGAAATGAGAAGCTATCAAAGCAGGAAACCCTTTATAAAACCATCAGATCTTATGAGAACTCACTATCACGAGAGCAGTATGGGGGAAACAGCCCCCATGATTCAGTTATTTCTACCTAGTCCTGCCCTTGACACGTGGGGATTATTACAATTCAAGATGAAATTTGAGTGGGGACACAGAGCCAAATCATATCACTGGCATCCGTAAATATCGACATAATTTCTAGATTCTACCTTATTATAGTGAGATATGGCCAAAAACTGCAAGGGAATCAAACAACATATTCAGTCTTATCATCAACATGAGTGAGCAACTTCCTATAAACTTCATTAACTTCCTATAAACAACTCTTATATGACCTAAAACTTGAACACCTGGTTTTTGGAAGAGAAATCAAAGCAATGTATCCCTTGAACTCCAAATAGAAAGGATGTTATTGGTTAATAGTAATCAATAGAACAGTGAAATTTCAAAAGATTGATTCTTGGATTCACATGTTCTGACTAAAGATCTCAAGTTTTACAGAAAAAGGCAATTTTTAAAAGAAATTTTTATTCAAGACTTCAAATAAAATATGTAAGTCCCTGTAGTAGATAGAATTCACCATAATTTCATGGAATGGATATCAAAATGACAAGAGTTGTATATTTTCACACTTTATTCTTCTAGGTTTTGTTCCTTATAACCCACTTATTTTCTTTCCTCATAGCTTTTTTAAGGTTTTGGATTGTTATATCTTACTATAATGCCTACAGCTCTTTAATATTGATCTTGGCATTCTCAGTCATTCTTTGTTAGGAGTACAATACCACTTGAATTTAGTTATGATTTGGCAAAAATATTCAATCAAACAAATTTTTGGATTTTTCACTCACGTTTTCTTGAGCTCCACCAAGCTTTCTCTGGTGCCAGTTTTTTCAAATAAATTATTTAATTTTCAGGTTATTTGGAGTCAATGCTAATAGACATTTAGACAAAAAATAGTATGAAAGATCACACAAAAACTAAACACTATCGCATTGTACCTACAACATCTAAATAACACTTGGAAACTTCCGTGGGTGTTATTTTTTGTCACTGTGGTTTTATAGAAATAAATCTTGGAAAAGAACTATGAAACATATGTTGTATATTTGAAAATATTCTTGTTTTACAGACCTTAAAGTAAGGAATACAATTTAGTTCAACTCAGTTCTTTTGCTCAAAATGTATCTAATTATCTCTATATTAAATATTTTACCATCTGGTGCCAGATCACTCACAATGAGTACTTCA